>NC_000002.12:29812125-29964875 GCF_000001405.40 Homo sapiens
TCTACATCCTGGTCCATACTCACCCATATCTCCTTCACAGATCTCAGGTGTTGTGCCCAATCACAGCTACACACAACAAAGCCAAGCACACAGCATCTAAGCCTGCCGGGGTGGGGGATGGGAGCAGCCAATGGTAAATGTTTAACAACCAGCTTTGGGTAAGAGGGTAAGAGAGGAGGTAAGCTCTGCTCTGTAGTATTTGCTGGTTTCTATAGCATAAATACCCCCGCCATCATCAATTTCTAGCTACCAACAAAAACTCACTCCATGGAGTCAGAAAGAGTTGTGTACAATTAGGTCTCGGGGCACTGGGTGAGCTGACTGCAACACACCCCTGAGAGGAGGGAAATAAGGCTACTAACAACTGCTGAGTGTCTTCTATGCACCACTCACCCTAAGAATTTACATTATTATTTCATACATATAAAAAATTCCCTTCCTGTTTTTAAATGATGGGGTTTCAGATTAAACTCCATTTGCCTTTTACCAAGCACATGTGAGTGTACTGGTATAACCAAGGTGGTGCCTGGCTCCAGTGAAACATAAGAACCCCTGATCTGGCTGATGGTGCCATATAGAGGGGAGAAGGTCACCTGTCCGGAGACCTCCACTTCTGAGGACCCACCATCCAGGGCTGCATTTCCTCTACAACATTTCCCACCTGGGCTTCACGTAGTCATGCTCATGGATCACTTATCATGTGTTAGGACTGAGCTGGACACTAGGGCTGTACATCCCTCCAACACACACACAATCTAGAATGTGCTGTTCAAGTTCACACACACATACACATCTCCCTAATGGACTCCATGCTAGGGGCTGTATAGGGAATAAAGATGGTGCCAACTTGGTCCTGATCTGAAGATGTGTACAGTCCTTCCAGGAAACCAGGACCTGGGTATGACAGATTGTGAAGCATGATGCTCCATTAAGAGATAAACTTCATGGGATTTCAGACTGGAAGACATTATTTCTAGATGAAGACACCATCAAGAAAAGCTTCATGGAGGAGGCTGAAGAACATCCCAGTAAATACGGCTGACTCCGACAGAGTACAGCACATTCATGCCTTTCTCCAGCCAGTATTTCCTGAGCCCATCTACTAGAGGTTCCGCACTGTGCCAGGCACCAAAGAAGATTCAAAAATGTCTTTTCCAGGTGTCCTCACCTCATATTTAGGTAAAGGCCAAACATCCATTTCAGTCTGGGCAGTAAGTGCCCAAGAAAGATGCAGCAGAGATGTCACAAGCTAGAATCTCTTAGCACTAAGAATGGGGGTTTGAGGGGAATTAGGGAGTGGATGGAGGAGGAGGAGGAGGGAAAGCAGGCTAAGGAAATAACTGTGTTGAGGGCTCAAGGTTGCATATTCTTGTTACACCAGAAGCAAGGAGTCACTGTCTCCCCCAAGACAGCCTGCTAAATTCATTATTTATATTAAAAAAGAAGAGGCATAAAAATAAATTTCCTAGAACTTACAGGGATATGGGTGTCTGTTTCTTTATAAAATGAGAGGCCCTGCCTTGCACAAATAATGGCCCACTGTAGTAATATCAGCTTGTAACCCGGACCCGATGCTGAACTCTACAGCATCCACATCTGCCGACTCCAAGTGTCTCATCTAAACTCAGTCTGTTCTCCTTGTGGAACCCCGTAACTCACAATTGTGTGGCAAATAGCATCTATATCATCAGTCCCATAAGCAGCTTCCTGGGAAAGATCCTTCTATCATTCATATCCAGAATGAATAGAATTTTAGTGAATTGAATTCTATTAAGTCCATGGCTGTCATGTCTGGAAGAAACTTAAGGAGAGAAAGAAAGGATAAGTTCATATTTCAGTAACATCCGAGAGGCTATCTCTTTAAACCTCTCTTCCAAAGTCTGGGGCCTGATTTCTCCCACAGTGGTACAAGGAATAAAGAAACTTGGGGCTGACCTCCCCTGGGGTGCAACAGCCCAGACTCAGGTCCCTGGAAGAAGAAAATAACAAAAATAGCTAATACTTTGAGCACTCTGCAAATGTTAACAGCAACCCTAGGAGGCAGGCATACTATTCTGTTTCATAGAAGAGGCACTGAGGCCCAGCGGCTAACTGACTTGTCCGTGTTATGCTGCACTGTAAGTGGTGGAGCTGTGAGTTTAATCCAGACAGCCCAGTGGTGATCCTCCCAGTTCCCTTCATGGTGGTATATATGTCCTTTCTCCAGTCAAGCACCTCATCTCTGCTTGGGAGTTAAGAGTCAGGCATGACCAAGGCCGGGCACGGTGGCTCACACCTGTAATCCCAGCACTTTGGGAGGCCGAGGCGGGCGGATCACGAGGTCAGGAGATCGAGACCATCCTGGCTAACACAGTGAAACCCTGTCTCTACTAAAAATACAAAAAATTAGCTGGGCGAGGTGGCAGGCACCTGTAGTCCCAGCTACTCAGGAGGCTGAGACAGGAGAATGTCGTGAACCCGGGAGGCAGAGCTTGCAGTGAGCCAAGATCGCACCACTGCACTCCAGCCTGGGCGACACAGCAAGACTCCCTCTCCAAAAAAAGAAAAAAAAAGACTGTCTCTAAAAAAGAGTCAGGCATGCCTAAGCCTGAATCTTGGGTCTGCTTTACTAGTTGCATGAATTTGACCATGTTATTTAACTTATCTGAGCTTCAGTTTCCTCCTATGTGAAATGGGACTAATCCCTATTCACAGGATTGGTATGAGAAATTGTAAGTACAATTTAAATGTACTTACAGTGCCTAGCAACTAGTAAACTGTCAGTGCAGGGAATGTTAGTGGCAGTAGTCGTGGTGGTTGTGATTTAGAATCACAGAATGCCAGGTTTTACAAACCCTCTAATTTAATCTGAAATGAATGAATGAATGAATGAATGAATGAGTGGACGGACTCGGCCTCAGTGTAACATCTAGCATCTAGTATGGTGCGGGCCATTAGTGGAAAATCATAGAAATCTAGAGTGTTTTGCAAGGTATGTCTGGAACCTCAGATATTCCTGGTGAAACTGTCTAAATTGAGTTTAAATCCCACTTCTATCACTTAATAATGGTGCAACATTGGATAAGTTCTTAGGCTTTCTTAGGCTTTGTCTTCTTGTCTGTCAAATAGGATAACAGTAACTTGCAAGTTGTGAGGACAGCAGTCGAAGTTTGGAAAAGATTTAGCACAGTACCTGGAAAGATTTTATACAGTCACTACTAACCTTCTTAATTTACTTAAAAATAAAGGGGAAGGGGTAGCAGGAGCTATTCATTAAAGTCTCTGAGTGACCCCGCTATTCCTGGCCTACCATATGTTTAATATAAAGAGTTCTGTTTAAAATCTGGTTGTTGCAAAGAAGGTGAGGGAGGCACTGGGACTCTGCGCCGGGCCCCTTCTTCCACCAGTCCCTCTCTGAGGAAGGAGAAGTTCTTGTTTGGAACTCTCCTGCTGTTGGGCTGTAGAAAGGTCTCTCGTGTGGGATTCACAGAGGAGGCCATGCAGGGTTGCCTGGAATCAACTGTTTTAATGAATAATATTAAGGTAGTAGTGACATTATTAATTAATGAAGTAAGAATGTAATGAAAGATCAAGGAAACAAGGACCAGGAATGGGTTGGCCAGATGCCTCCTCGTACCTCCTGTCCACTGTCCTCCAACTTCTGCTACCTGATGCGCCCCTGAGACACTGACCCAAAACTGAGGCCCTGGAAATTCCATATACACTCTTTCTCCTGGCTTTGTGTTTACAGTCCCTTTGTGTAAGGAGTCCATGAATGTTTAGTTACCAGCCTGTTCTCAAAGAATTTGAAAGGAGGCAAATAGCTTTAATCACATTTTACAGGGAAGAATGAGAAACACAAGACCGGGAAGCAAGTGAATTAGGGCCACATGGCCAACGGCATTTGTGTGTCTGGACAGACCCTGTCTCCTTGGGGTTGGAGGCGCTGGTAGAAAACTGCCTAATTTCTTCCACAAGTACACATTATGAATCTGCTGTGATTACTGTAGGCTATTCGAGAAGATAAAGTATTTTTAACACACAGCTCAAGCTTTCTAGTTAAGGAAACAAAACAAATCCACATGAAACATTAAGTAATAGATTCATTCATTCAGGCAAGCAGGAATAACAGGGACATTTGCAGACAGAGGTTCACCTGGGTGAGGGCTGGGTGGTTCTGAGCAAGCTCTTCCTTTCTCTAAACCTGTTTCCTTCTCTCTAGAGGAGATAAAAATAATCTCTGCCTCACGGGTTGTTGCATCGATGAGATACTTACATACATATATGAAAGTGCTTTGTAAACAGTGGCCTCCTAATCCAATAGACCTTATTATTATTATTATTATCAGTGAATGCCTACTTTGTACAAAGCAACATGCCCAGCAGGCAGGGGATGAAGGATTCATCAAGAAAGGCGATTCTAAAAGTGTTTACTAATTATACGCTAATAAAAAAGCCTTCCCAAGAGAGCAAGCACCAGAGGAAAGATGCCGACAATAACAGCTCTGAGTTCCAAAGAGGGAGGCTGTCCAGTGTTGGAAGGAAAGTCTGGGCCACAAGGTCGGTCCCCCTTGGTTTCTAGCCAGCTCCACACCACCTGGCTCTGCGACCTTGAGCAATTGGCTGTGCCTCTCTGTGCCTCTGACTTCTCATCTGTAAAATTAGGGGGTTGGATTTAATTATCTGCACAGCTCCTCCCAGCCTGACGGGATGTGATGTATGGTCTATGAGGGGCTAGGCCTTGAAAGCTGAATCAGATTTCAATAGAGGAGTGGGAGCTCATGAATAAAGGCACAGAGGCTGAGACAGGAATATGCAAGAGAGAGGGAACAATAAAAAGAGCTGACATTTATTGAGTGCCTAACTTTGGGTCCTGTTTTAAGTGCTTTGTGCGTATGAACTCATTACATCCTCACAACAACCCTAGGAGGTAGAAAACTGTCCATTCCTCTTTTACAGAGGACACGATGGAAGCATGGGGAGCTTCAGTAGTAACCTGCCCAAGGTCACACAGCTTCAACACTGCCACTTATTGCTCCAGCCTGAGACCAACCAGGTGGGAGTTCAAGGTTTACATACAAGAGGAGGTGGGTGTGTCACACTAAGCGGTGGGGTGTGGGGGATGGGTGGGTGGTGACCTGAATACTGATCTTAGTCCTAGTCCTTTCTTTGATTTCTCTGTGACAACTGGATAGGTCAGCTTTCATGGATCTCAGTTTTAACTAGGACAAATTATAAATCATACTGCATGGTTGGAGTGGGGGACAAGATGAGAGGTGAATAAACAACGTGACTGCAAGATGGCATCTTTTCTATTGGCCTTATCTGTGCCTGTGAGCAACATGGCTGGGCCATGTCTTCTGCCACTTGTCTGTCCAGCCAACCACTCTGTCCCAGTGGAGGGGACCCGCAGGTTGGAAAAACTGAAAGTTTCACAATGGAGAGTCAAAACAGAAAGAGTGCTTAGGGATCATCTGCCCAAATTCTTCTCCACTACCATTATACTGACTTGGAAACAGAAGCTCAGGGAATTTAAATGGTTTGCCCAAGGACCCGCCCTCCGTCCCTCCCTTCCTCCATTCCTCTCTTCCTCCCTTTATACATACCACTGTGTTTTGTCCAAGTCCACATAGATGCAGGGCAGAGCTAAACACACACAGATTAAACAAAAGTAATGAAGAGAAAAGAGCCCCCTGATGCGGAAATGGAAGGAATTCTCGGAACTTAGAGCTGGAGGCCTTAACTTGGGCCAGGGAACTAGAGGATGCCTTCTATAGAAATTGTTTAAACTGAGCTCTTAAGACTGGATTATCTAATTTTAGAGAAAGCAAGAAATGAAGCCAAAAACCAAGCGCTTATGGCCAGTCCTCATCAGGCCTGTGCTAGAATACTAACGCTGTATTTCCTCTCGCCATCCAGTGTTTCTCCACAGAGAACAAAGTGCATTACAGATACCCTCTTGGCTCGCCAAACTCCACTGTGCGAGAGGCAGGGAGTCAGACTTATTATTCCTCTTATTATCTCCTATTACTGTTTGCTTCCATTTTTCCCAGAGTTGTGAATTTATAAAACTGACAGGAGTTTTGATGTGACCCGGATTATACAAACACCTGCATGGATGTCACTGCTGTTTTCTCTCTCTCGAAGAGAAATGACTGCAAGTGTGTGTGTTTGAAGCAATTTGGTCATTATACCGTTTGAGTTTTTCCCTTTTCCCTGGCCTATTTTTAGATTTCTTCTTTCATTTCCCGAGCTCTATTAGAATAAGGTTTTCATTTTAATCACGCTCTCTGGGCAGGCCAAATTTAGGCATAATGAAAACAAAAAGTGTTATGCAAAATGAGACGTTAGAGGAAGCCCGGCCCGGCGCGTGCCTTGCATACCCAACACGCTGGCTGGGAACAGCGCGCAGGTTTTCCACGCTGGCCCAGCTCTGGAGCCTCAATCTGCAGCGCCTGCTGTTCGCCCCCAAAGCAAGGCAGCCTGTTAGTGCTCCAAGAATATTCCGTTGCATAAGAAATATAGCATCAAACTTTTCTGTCCACCGTGCCTCCAGCAGCGCAGTAGCAGATATAGGGTTTGACTGTGGCTGGCACAGCGTGAGGCGGCCCTGGCCACAGTTTCTGCAAAGGGAAATGAGACTGGTCAGGTTCTGGATTGGGTGGGGCTGCAGAGATATCATTAGTAATATGCAGCTTGACACCTAGGGTCTTGGTTCTGCACTCTAGCTGCATGTGAGAATCACCTGGGATGCTTTTAAAACCTACTTCCTTTGGAAGGCACCCCAGACCAAGTGAATCAGAACTTCTGAGGGTGGCACATAGGCAGAAGGTTTGCTTTTTCTTTAATATCCACATCCTCCACTTTACCACCATACCTGTGATCCCAAGTCCAGCCAGAGTGGAGAAATACTGCCCCCAGGAAAAGAAATATGGGGGAAGGGAGGAGACATCTTGTTGCTGAAAGTGTAGTTCCTGCCTCTCCCGTCCCTCCAATCAGGATCATCAGGGAGCCTGTTATAAATAAAGAATCTCAGCCTCCAACCAGAACCTATTGAATCCAAATTTGCATTTTTAACAGGATCCCCCAGACTCCGGGAGATTCATGTTCACATTACAAACTGAGAAACACTGTTTTATTCCTGTTTTTTTCATCCAGGGCTATGTGTAAAGCACTAAGAATGCCTAAGAGCCCAGATTCTGCAGTCACTACTGCCTAGGTTTGCTCTGCTGCTCAATTCACATGGAATACGTTACACAGCTTCTTCATATCTCAGTCTCCTCATCTGTAGGATGAGTTATAGCACTTACTTCACAGGATTCTTGTGTGAAGCAGATTAGCTAATACTGCTTGAAACACTGCTGGCTTGCGCGTGTTCTCTGAGTGTTATTATTACCATGAGAGGGATGACTGGGCGATGCCCTGGACTCCTGCTCACCCAGGTGTTTTCACCGCTGACTGCATTCTCCCATGGTGTAGAGTAAAATTCATTGCCATAAAAAGTTTCTTAGCAAATTGATCTTACCAACTGAATGAAAATAAATTTATGTTGGAGCATTAGGAAATGGTTAAAACAAGTAAACTCAGAGCTGTTGCATGTGTTTTTTTGTTTGTTTTTGTTCTTATTTGCTGAAAGGACTTTGTTCTGAATGTTTCAGCTCCTGTGCTAGACTCCCCATGGTCAGCAGGTCACTAAAAGGTGTTACTGGAAGTGACTGCTTGCCTTCCACCATCCACATTCCCCAATCCATGATCCTACAGGGATAGAACAGAATGAAATGTGTCTTTCTTGGGTTTGGGCCCCAATGCAGGTGAGGAACAGGCAATTCCCATATTCATTTGGCACAAGACAGGAAAACAAAACATCTATCCCTAAGACTGGGGTGCCTTGGGTAACAGAGCGTGATGGTTTTTAAATACATCCACAGATTCTTTGGTATTCCTCTCTTCAAGAGATGGAGCATAATTCCTTCCTCTGTGAAAGCGAGCCAGCCTTAGCGACTATCTTCTAATGAATAGAATATGGTGTCAGTGACAGTATGTGACTTACAGGATTAGGTTACAGAAGGCATTGCAGCTTCCTCCTTGTCCTCTCTTGGACCACTTGCTCAGGGAGAAACCAGCTGCCACGCCATGAGCTCAGTTAAGCAGCCTTATGGAGAAGTCCACACAGGGAGGAAGTGAGGACATGCCAATGAGCCATTATGGAAGCAGATTCTCCAGCTCCATTGAAGCCCTCAGATGACTGCAGCCTTGACCAACAGCTTGACTGCAACCTCAGAAAAGACCCTGAGCCAGAACCATCTAGCTAGGGTGTTCCTAGATGCCGAACCTACCCAAACTATAATGTCACAGATGTTGCTGTATTTTTAAGCCACTAAGTTTTGGGGGAATTTGTTATGCTGCAGTAGATAACCAATACATTGGTCTTGAAAACATCAAATAGATGTTTTCTGAAAGCCTGAGCAATGTACAAAACTGAAAGAGGATAGGGATCCAGCTGAAAAAGAAGCACGTCCCATGCCATGAGAGAAGATGAAGATTCATGAGATTCTTGTCTTCTTAGTACACTTACAAGACATAGACTCTGGAGCCTGGAAGTGCTGGGTCTGACCCTGGCTTTGCCACTGACTGGTTTTGTGACCTGAGTCCCTTAACTAATCTTCCTCTTAGAAGAACAGAAGTGATGTGATGTTGGAGAACCAACCCAGCACTTGCCAAATGGGACTCAGAGAGCTGGAGCTACTGCTCCTACAGTGTTCTCTTTCCCCTTCTCCTTCTGTTCCTGACTCTCAGAGGCCTGCAGCCTTTGACCTCAGCACACTTGTTTTGGGGATACATGTTGTTCTCAGGGGTTGGGGGTAGAGCAGAGTGATGCTGTGTGGAGAAGAAGGAGCTAGTGGATAGCATGCTTATTCTACCTGGAGCTTGCCCGAGTGAGGGCGGGTGTCTGGCTGAAGCCTCCACTAGAGGAGGGGATCGAGACTACTGCCAAATCAAGTGTCACAGTGGCACTAGGGGAAGGTGGCATCACATGGAACCCACCTTCTGTTTTCCCACCCACTGTTGCCAGAGGAAGAAGAGGAAGGTTGTGAGAATAATGGCGGGTGCTCTCCCCACCAACCACCCATCTTCTCCTACCCTCGGTGTTATAGTTTCTAGGGAGGTGGCCCTCTGAGTCACTAGGGGGAGACTGCTTCTCTCTCAGGCTCTAGCTTGGTTTTACTCTCCTCTGCCCTCTCTGAACCCACACTCATCTCCCCTCCCCTCAAGGATCTACCACTTGGGAAGACTTTCTCGGGGAAGGGGACAAGCACCAATTTTGATAAATCTCTCTTGCACAGATCGAAGTGAAGAGCACCTGAATTTGAGGGCCAAGAGGTTCTCATATCCTGGTGAGAAGGTGCAATCCCTGAAATTCAGTCCTGCTGCCCTGAAAGGTCCAAGACCAACCCCCACAAATGAGAGTGAAAAGGAAGCTGGTGCCATCCCCAGCCCTGGCCACCTTCCCCTGATGAAGGGCATCTGTAGGGGTTCTGGGGCACTCGATTGCTCCAGATCACTCTGCTCCTGACATCCTCCTGGCATTAAGAGGAAGACCTCTGGAATGCATTTCACCAATTGAATTGTCCTGGCCTCCCTCAGCTGTTCCCATTCCTCAGGCCTGGGGGAAGAGAAGGGAAACTCAATCTCCTGCCTGCCAGCCAGGATTAAGTGGAAAATCAATCTTGTCTGAACTGCCCTTCCCACTGTAGCCTTTCCGAAGATGAGCACAGACTGGGGATTCAGGGGTTGAAGGGCCACTCTGAGGTGGCTATTGCACACATTGTCTGGACATTCCTTCCTACCTATTAGAAAGGAAAGGGACCTCAGGAAGCTCTCTCAGGCCCTGTATGCTTAGCTTCTAAACCTGAAATCAGGCCTTCTTCTGCAGAATGAGATAATAAGGATGTCTGGAACTTCTATTGTCCTTTTCCCTAAAGAGTCCAAAGGATTTTATGCACATTTCTCCAATAATCCAGTAAAATCAGCTCCCAAGTCCCAATGCCACCTGATTCAGCAGAGGGAGGAGTCAAAGGACTGAATGGCGAATAATCCAAGGCCTCATCCCTGCCCCCTATCTAACGAGGAGATCTGAAATCAAAAGGCCTTGGCTCCCAACCTGGTTGTTCTTAGACCATTACCTAGCACCTGCTGGCAGTTTATAGGATCAGCCTAGAGAACTAAAGTCCCAGGGTACTTAGGCAGAGGGGAGACAAAGGCAGAACAAGTTTTCAGGTGGGAGGAGGACAGAGGAAATGGGAAATTCATGTGGCCAAGTCTGAATTCTGCCCATTTGCTCAGGGAGCATCACTGTAGCTCCATGTATAGTCAAAGTCACATGGTTTTTGGCTCCTGGGCTGCCTCATTTCAGCCAGCAGTGGCTATGATCAGTGGCTAATGCCCATCCCTGTTCTCTAGGACTTGAGTGGTGTGTAAAAATTGACCTGGAGCAAGGCCCTTGGCCTCTCTGAGCCTCAGTGAGGTTCCTCACTTATAAATTGACAAAAGGATTCCTTCCATCTCCTGAAGGTCTACAAGTCACAAATATGAACTCCTTGGGGATGCAGCAAGGGAACCAGAAGAGTTACTGCAATAGGCATTAGGAGAGCTGGATTATAGTCCTTGCCCATTAGCTGACTGTGTAATGTGCAACGAATCACTGGACTTCTCACAGCCTTGGTTTCCTCACCTATCAAGTGAGGCTGTTGGTTATATTCTTCCTAAGGACTCTCTCAGTTCTGGCTTTTATTTCCGAATTCAATGATTCTACATGGAGGGAGATATAATAGAAAGATACTGTTCCAGACATTGACTCCCTTCTCTGCTGATATGGTTTGACTGTGTCCCCACCCAAAACTCATCTTGAATTTCCACGTGTTATGGGAGGGACCCCATGGGAGGTAACTGAATCATGGGGGCAAGTCTTTCCCATGCTGTTCTCCTGATAGTGAATAAGTCTCATGAGATCTGATAGTTTTATAAAGATGAGTTCCCTTGCACAAATTCTTTTTTTGCCTGCTGCCACCCATGTAAGACATGATTTGCTCCTGCTTGCCTTCTGCCATGATTGTGAGGCCTCCCCAGCCACGTGGAACTGTAAGTCCATCAAATTTCTTTATTTTGTGTATTGCCCAGTCTCAGATATATCATTATCAGCAGCATGAAAATGGGCTAATAAAGTAAATTGGTACCAGTAGAGTGGGGTGCTGCTGAAAAGATACACAAAAATGTGGAAGCGACTTTGGAACTGGGTAACAGGCAGAGGCTGGAACAGTTTGGGGGGCTCAGAATAAGACAGGAAAATGTGGGAAACTTTGGAACTCCCTAAAGACTTGTTGAATGGCTTTGACCAAAATGCTGATAATGATATGGACAATGAAATCCAGCTGAGGAGGGTCTCAGATGGAGATGAGGAACTTGTTGGGAACTGCAGCAAAGGTGACTCTTGTTATGTTTTAGCAAAGAGATTGGTGGCATTTTGCCCCTGGTCCAGAGATTTGTGGAACTTTGAACTTGAGAGAGATGATTTAGGGTATCTGGTGGATGAAATTTCTAAGCAGCAAAACATTCAAAAGGTGACTCTGGTGCTGTTAAAAACCATTCAGTTTCATAAGGAAGCAGAGCATAAAAGTTCAGAAAATTTGCAGCCTGACAATGTGATAGAAAAGAAAATCCCATTTTCTGAGGGGAAATTCAAGCCAGCTGTAGAAATTTGCATAAGTAATAAGGAGTTGCATATTAATCCCCAAGACAATGGGGAAAATGTCTCCAGGGCATGTCAGAGGTCTTCACAGCAGCCCCTCCTCCCCCCATCACAGGCCCAGAGGCCTAGGAGGAAAACATTGTTTGGTGGGCTGGGCCCAGGGTCCCATGCTGTGTGCAGTCTAGGGACTTGGTGCCCTGCATCTCAGCCACTCCAGTCATGACTAACAGGAGCCAAGGTATAGCTTGGGCCATGACTTCAGAGGGTGGAAGCCCCAAACCTTAGCAGCTTCCATGTAGTGTTGAGCCTGCAGGTACACAGAAGTCAAGAATTGAAGTTTGGGAACCTCTGCCTAGATTTCAGAAGATGCATGGAAATGCCTGGATGTCCAGGCAGAAGTTTGCTGCAGGGGAAGGTCCCTCATGGAGAACCTCTGCTAGGGCAGAGCAGAAGAGAAATGTGGGGTTGGAGCCCCCACACAGAATCCCTACTGGGGCACCACCTAGTGGAGCTGTGAGAAGATGGCCACTGTCCTCCAGGCCCCAGAATGGTAAATCCACTGACAGCTTGCACCATGAGCCTGGAAAAGCCACAGACACTCAATGCCAGCTAGTGAAGGCAGCTGGGAGGGGGCCTGTACCCTGCAAAGCCACTGAGGCAGAGCTGTCCGAGGCTGTGGGAGCCCACCTCTTGCAGGTGTGACCTGGATGTGAGACACGGAGTCAAGGGAGATCATTTTGGAGATTTAAGATTTGATTGCCTGGCTGGATTTCAAACTTGCACAGGGCCTGTAGCCCCTTTGTTTTGGTCAATTTCTTCCATTTGGAATGGTTGTATTTACCCAATGCCTGTACCCCCATTGTATCTAGGAAGTAACTAACTTGCTTTTGATTTTACAGGCTCGTAGGCAGAAGGGACTTGCCTTGTCTCAGATGAGATGTTGAACTGTGGACTTTTGAGTTAATGCTGAAATGGATTAAGATTTTGGGGGATGGTTGGGAATGCATGATTGTTTTGAAATGTGAGAACATGAGATTTGGGAGAGGCCAGAAGTGGAATGATATGGTTTGGCTATGTTCCCACCAAAATCTCATCTTGAATTTCCACGTATTGTGGGAAGGACCTGGTGGGAAGTAATTGAATCATGGGAGCAAGTCTTTCCTGTGCTGTTCTCATGATAGTGAGTAAGGCTCATGAGATCTGATGGTTTTATAAAGAGGAGTTCCCCTGCACAAGTTCTCTTTCTTTGCCTGCTGCCATCCATGTAAGAAGTGACTTTCTCCTCCTTGCCTTCCACCATGATTGTGAGGTCTCCCCAGCCATGTGGAAATTTACGTCCATTAAACTTCTTTGTTTTGTAAATTGCCCAGTCTCAGGTATGTCTTTATCAGCAGCATGAAAATAGACTAATACATCTGCTTCATCTCTTCATCTGTCCATCCATTCATTCATCATATATGTATTAAGTGCCTATTGTGTGGTCAGATTCCCTGTTAGGTCCTGGGCCATAACAACAAGCAAGATGAGTATGGTTTGGTCCATGTCTTAATGAATTTACAATCAAGGAAGGAGGAAAGGCTGAGAAGTAAATATATATCACAGTGTATGTAAAGAGCCAGAGGAATGAGAGACCTTGGTATGTTCAAGGAACAGAAAGAAAGACAACAGGGCTAGGCCATAGCATGCAAGGCAGGGAATACTGGCAGGTGAAGCTGGAGAGTAGGTTGGAGGCAGATCTGGAGGGCTTCAAACTCCAGATTAAGGATGATGACTTCTAAAGGAATCCTAGAGAAAATCATTGAGTGATTTTATGCATGATTGTGATAGAATTAAGTTTTTGTCTTGAAAAGATCATTTTGTGTGTTTTTTTTTTTAAATCGTTGTGTACCAAAGATTCGACAGATGAAGGTAAAAGAAACAAAGAGGCCAGTGCAGTGGTCCAGGCAGAGATGATCTGAACTTGGACTGGGATTGAGATGAAGAAAGCATCAGATGAAGCATCTGAGAAATACTGAGAAGTTAGAATCAAAACAACAAAAAGGGCAATTGGATGTTTAGGTGGTAGGGGTTAGAACAGAGTGACTATGGAAAGATGTTCTAGAGGCTCTGGTAGCATGACTGACAGTGCCTGGTAACCCATGACATGGTCTTGTGACTCTCTGAATGCTAAACCAAACAAGTTAAGTTTTCCCTACACAACTGCTCTCCTGGGGCTCTTTCAGGTGACAGGTGCCCACCTGCAACTGTCCTTCCCTGCAGTGCCCCTCCCCACCCCCTAGCATCTCTGCCATGGCCTGCTATTCTGTAGGAAGGACACATAGACCTGAGTTCTGAAATCTCTTTAAAGCCAGCCTCTCCATATGGGGTAGTAGAAATCCAACAGCAAAATCCAAACTATTACAGAAAAAGAAAGAGTGTGCCTGTGATTTTATGACTTTTTTGTGTGTGAAAAATCAAGCAAAAATAGGAAATACGTCTGCAGTTTGTGGTGTTTGGGCTTGATCTATCATGGGCTTTGATATATCACAATGACAAAATTCTCCAATGAGAATCATCAAAATATTCTGAGTTACTACAGACAGCATCACCAGTTGATTTAAAAAAAAAAAAAAAAGACAATCTTAGGTCTTTACCAGTCTCTCTCTCTCTGTCTCTTTATGTGTCAGGGTTTAGCATTCACATACTCAGTCAGTCTTATACAAGCCTCATGCAATATTAAAATGTTTATGCAACTCTTTCTGTGCTTGAAGCAGCAGCAAATGTTCTTGGTGTGCAAGGAATGAGGAGAATAATGTTCTTACACTTCCCAGGAGAAAGTCCAACATCAGAGCAATGCCTGCCTGCCCTCCATGATTAATCAGAGCAATAAATCAGATCTCCCTTTCCTCAGCTATCTTCCACTCTTCCTTGGGGCCCCCAGGCATTGGCTGAGTACTAAAAAGAGAGCATCATGTGGTTTATTTGCCATAAGGAACAAAAATTGGAGGGGCACTCAAAATGTTTTTACCCAAGCTCATGGCTGTAATTCTCCAGGCATATGCCATGTCGGTATTAGTCAGATGTCAAACTTTAAACCCATTAAAGGGGCATGTTAATAGTGCAGCATTTCAAAAAGGTTTGCCTTCAGCTGCTGTACCCTTACAGGAGATTGATTTCCACATATATGAACCCAAATCCAAGTGTCAGAGACTAACAGAGATATCGGTCTCAATCTGGTAGCTTTCAACCAATGATCATAAGACATTTGATGGGTAACTATTGCTAGAGGGAAAAGAGAGCTTAAAGACATCAAGCAATGGTCTCAGAACAGCACGCAGATCAGAGGCAGCTCTGGGAGCATGGTTTTCCAAGCCCAGAAAAATTAGAATATCAGAGCTGGAAGTGAAGGCCTTTAAGATTATTTTATAGATGAGAAATCAAGGTCCAGAGAGACTAAGGAATTTGCTCAAGATCTCTAATTTGTGGCCCACTGTCTAATGCAAAACCCAATTGACCTTCAAAGAGGTCAGACATTTCCAACAACACTTGCTTCCTGTGGCTCACTGTCATGATGTGATGTCCTCTAAATCCACAGGTCTTCTCTGCTTCTGAGCTTCTACCAAATGATGAACTCTTTGCAGATTTTACATATTAGAGATGCTGTTTTCTGATTAGTATTTATCCTACTTAGACCAATCTGTTTAGTGAGCTTTGTTGGCAAAGGCAGTCTCAGGGTATTAATTGGTAGGCTCAAACCCTATGTGAGGTGATTTACTACTCCTACTAAGAAACTGATTCCACAGCCCAAGACTACTACTGGCTTTGCAAGGAGACTGAGAATGAAAGATGAAGATGGAACATTCCACGCTCATGGGTAGGAAGAATCAATATCGTGAAAATGGCCATACTGCCCAAGGTAATCTATAGATTCAATGCCATCCCCATCAAGCTACCAATGACTTTCTTCAAAGAATTGGAAAAAACTACTTTAAAGTTCATATGGAACCAAAAAAGAGCCCGCATTTCCAAGTCAATCCTAAGCCAAAAGAAGAAAGCTGGAGGCATCACGCTATCTGACTTCAAACTATACTACAAGGCTACAGTAACCAAAACAGCACGGTACTGGTACCAAAACAGAGATATAGATCAATGGAACAGAACAGAGCCCTCAGAAATAATACCACGCATCTACAACTATCTGATCTTTGACAAACCTGACAAAAACAAGAAATGGGGAAATGATTCCCTGTTTAATAAATAGTGCTGGGAAAACTGGCTAGCCATATGTAGAAAGCTGAAACTGGATCCCTTCCTTACACCTTATACAAAAATTAATTCGAGATGGATTAAAGACTTAAATGTTAGACCTAAATCCATAAAAACCCTAGAAGAAAACCTAGGCAATACCATTCAGGACATAGGCATGGGCAAGGACTTCATGTCTAAAACACCAAAAGCAATGGCAACAAAAGCCAAAATTGACAAATGGGATCGAATTAAACTAAAGAGCTTCTGCACAGCAAAAGAAACTACCATCAGAGTGAACAGGCAACCTACAGAATGGGAGAGAATTTTTGCATCTACTCATCTGACAGAGGGCTAATATCCAGAATCTACAATGAACTCAAACAAATTTACAAGAAAAAAACAACCCCATCAAAAAGTGGGCGAAGGATATGAACAGACACTTCTCAAAAGAAGACATTTATGCAGCCAAAAGACACATGAAAAAATGCTCACCATCACTGGCCATCAAAGAAATGCAAATCAAAACCACAATGAGATACCATCTCACACCTGTTAGAATGGCGATCATTAAAAAGTGTCAGGAAACAACAGGTGCTGGAGAGGATGTGGAGAAATAGGAACACTTTTACACTGTTGGTGGGACTGTAAACTAGTTCAACCATTGTGGAAGACAGTGTGGCGATTCCTCAGGGATCTAGAACTAGAAATACCATTTGACCCAGCCATCCCATTACTGGGTATATACCCAAAGGATTATAAATCATGCTGCTATAAAGACACATGCACATGTATGTTTATTGTGGCACTCTTCACAATAGCAAAGACTTGGAACCAAGCCAAATGTCCAACAATGATAGACTGGATTAAGAAAATGTGGCACATATACACCATGGAATACTATGCAGCCATAAAAAATGATGAGTTCATGTCCTTTGTAGGGGCATGGATGAAGCTGGAAACCATCATTCTCAGCAAACTATCGCAAGGACAAAAAACCAAACACCGCATGTTCTCACTCATAGGTGGAAATTGAACAATAAGAACACATGGACACAGGAAGGGGAACATCATACACCAGGGCCTGTTGAGGGGTGGGGGGAGGGGGGAGGGATAGCATTAGGAGATATACCTAATGTTAAATGACAAGTTAATGGGTACAGCACACCATGGTACATGTATACATATGTAACTAACCTGCACGTTGTGCTCATGTACCCTAAAACTTAAAGTATAATAAAAAAAAAAAAGAAAGAAAGATGAAGATGGTTAAACTGATGCAGTTTAACCATATTCTTTGTGCCTTCTAGGCCTGAGTTTGTAGATTGTAGTGTCTCTTTCAAGGCTGGGGAGTTGGATGAGATGCAGTCTCCAGGTGGTTGTTTGTAAGAGCAGAGAATGAGACTTCCCTTACTCTCGGTCCTACTGCATGTTGCCCAAGACTATTACCAAGCAAGTTTGTGTATACTTTAGGCTTATCACAGGATATGTTCAGAGGACCAATTATTTAGAATCAGACTATAGGTCTGCATTTGTATGAATGAGGTGGGTCCACTACTAAGAACATTTTCACCTAAGGGGGGTAAAATATTCATCAGATTAATTCTTGGTGAACAGTGAACCTATCCTAATACTATTGAGTTCTGCTGTTAGAAAAATCCAAAATCACCAGTGCAAGACTGTCTCTGATTCTCTGAAGCACAGTGCCCCAAGCTATGGATGTATGTATCTATTTCTCAGCCTGCATGGCCCTAACCTGTGAAGCTCTCTCCCTACTGGACTTTGATTTCTCTTTTTAGTGGCTACACAGCAAACCCTATGGGCTGTTGGGAGCACAGAAGCTGTCAGCCTCTGGGTGAACATTTGAGATTTCCATTAAGTTGATGCCATAATTTGCTGTCTCTCTGCAAGGTTTTGCTCTCCATTCTGGGCATCCTTCATCACTCCCTTGGCAAACTGAAGTGGCATGGAGCCACTGGCTGCCGAGAAGTTTAACGTTGACTTGGCTCTGGCTTGCTGAAGACAGAGTGTTTGTGTAGTGGATGTTTTAGTGAGGCTCTTGGCTGTAAATACTTTCAGGAAAACTTGTTTTCTATTATTTATTTCAACTCTGTGAACAAATACATGCTTTGTCCTTCACAAAGAGACCAATGGCAAGGAGTTCTTTTCCCTTCCAATTGAATTAATCATTGCAGGGGAAAAATTATTCCCAATCTTCAAAAAGTAGGGTTGTTGCTAACGTAATCTAGGAGAAAAATCATTGGTCAATTTCCAGGACCTGGGCATAGCCTAGTATTCCCCACTGACCACCATCACCTTTCCAGCCCTAGAATGTAGGAAGACCCTACTGAGAAAGTAGATATGGAGCTTTCAAAAGAGACTTCAGGTAAGAGGAGCCCTATTGACACAAGGTCTTCTTTAATCCCATCCAGGGCTAAGACCCTTGCTATTCACAGTGATCCAGTGCCAATAGCACCAGCATCACATGGAAACTTGTTAGAAATGCAGAATACATTGGGCATGGTGGCTCGTACCTGTAATCCCAGTGACTCAGGAGACTGAGGGAGGAGGATTGCTTGAGGTCAGGAGTTGAAGACCAGCCTGGAAAACACAGCAAGACCCTGTCTCTAAAATAGTTTAAAAAAAAAAAAAAAAAAAAAAAAAAAAAAAAAAAAAAAACTTAGCCAAGCATGGTGGCATGTGCCTATAGTCCCAGCTACTTGGGAGGCTGAGGTGGGAGGATCACTTGAGCCCAGGAGTACAAGGCTGCAGTGAGCCATGATTGTGCCACTGCACTCTAGCCTGGGCAACAGAGTGAGACCCTAACTCTAAAGAAATGAAGAAGAAGAAAAGAAGAAGAAGAAGAAGAAAAGAAGAAGAAAAGAAGAAGAAGAAGAAGAAGAAGAAGAAGAAGAAGAAGAAGAAGAAGAAGAAGAAGGGGAAGAGGAAGGGGAAGGAGGAGGAGGAGGAGAAGGAGAAGAGGAAGGGGAGGAAGGGGAGGAGGAGGAGGAGGAGGAGGAGGAGGAGGAGGAGGAGAAGAAGAAGAAGAAGGGGAAGAAGGGGAAGAAGGGGAAGAAGGGGAAGAAGGAGAAGAGGAAGAGGAAGGGGAAGGGGAAGGGGAAGGGGAAGGGGAAGAGGAAGAGGAAGAGGAAGAAGAAGAGGAAGAAGAAGAGGAAGAGGAAGAGGAAGAAGAAGAAGAAGAAGAAGAAGAAGAAGAAGAAGAAGAAGAAGAAGAAGAAGAAGAAGAAATGTAGAGTTCCAGGACTTATCTCTGACCTCCCAAATCAGAATCTGGGTTTTCATTAGACTCCTAGGAGTTCTGGATATATATTACACTTTGAGAAGCATGCTTTAGAGCTTCTCTCTTTATGCCCTGAGGCACAATGACTCCTCTATACGCTAAATTCTTAGTTCCTGATCAGCTCCTCTCCTGTTTTTACTGTGTGTGCTGTGTCCCCTCCTGACCTAGCTCCAACTCTGTTGATCCACATCAGTGTATATATTTTGGCTTCTTATTCTATCATCACTATAATTTACAACTTTTACAACTCAAGTCTGGCCAGTGCAATGCCTTCTCAAGATTCAACACCTAATAGTTAGCCTTGGGAGTTGATAGAAATCACTTAACCTGTCTAGGCTATAGTTTCTCCAGATGCTAAATGACGATATACATATGTGTCACTCTCTATGGGACACACATGCCAGGAGGACAAATGAGGTCATTCATATTTAATAGCACTCATTATTATACAGTGAGTGCAAGACATTATTTGTGAGCATCTGTCTGGGTTAATGGCCAATATCTCCTGAATAGGCGAACCATTTTCACTGCATGCTTAATTCTGAAAATGTTAGAAAAGTAGGGATTTCACAGTGTTCTCCAACTGGGTATGGTCTTATCGTTCAAAGATCTCAGTATACTGAATACGATTTATGAAGAACCTCTAGCAACAGGAAAGGAATCTTGAGTACAGGTGAGTCTTCACCATGACACTGGGAGATGAGGTTCCCTGTATGCATTGTCATCTCGTGGAAATGGACAAACAAGAAACAGTAATAAAGGGCATCTCAACATCATGGAGAAACTGGGTTGAAATTCAGGATGTCCAGACACCAATTCCACATGACTTTGGACTAATGAGAAGAAAAGCAGAGGGTGGAGAACCCAGAAAGCAGATATATGGAGCAAGCAGGTGGCAGTTTCCAAAAGCTGGGTGTGGGGTCCCATCACATAGGTCGCCGGCAGGAGGTCTCATGAGCAGAGAAGCAGAGGCAGAGCCTGATGTGTCAGAACTAGGGAACTGAGGTGAATTGAAGAGGAAGGGGTAGATCTTTCAAAGGGGCAAACCGATGCACAACAACCAAGAAGCCCAAAATTTGTTATCTTTGGGGGAAGAGGGATATGTAGGGTGCACATGAGAGTGAGTGTGTGTGCACACTAGGGCTACACGAATGCCCTACATTTCTGTCATGCCTCTTCTCACTATGTATGTGGGTATTTTGCCCAGAGATCTAAAGCTTCTGAACATAGCTACTTCGAGGCAATAGCGAAGCTAAAGCCCTTGCTTCTTCAGCACATTGGGCAAACCACGGACCATTGTACCTGCTTCTGAATACTCATCCATCCACCCATTTATCCATCCAGCCTACAAATACTTAGGGAACACCTACCATGTGCCAGGCTCTGAGTGAGGCACTGCCCATCTTCATGGGTCTCAAAGTCTAGTGGGCATGAATCAAGTAAGAATAGAAATAAATGTTCAATTTTCACTTCACCATGAGAGCATGTAAAGAAACTGCAGGTAGTTGGGAAATCAGGAGAAGCTTGCTTCCTGAGAAGGCGGCAGTTGAGCTGGGCTCTAAAGTATGTGTAGGGATTGACAGGGCAAAGAGAAGTAGGGAGAGGGCTTTCAACAGAGGCAGGGGCATGGAAAGAAAGAGAGCCCAGTGTGGGTGGGTGCACAGCCCAGAGAGCACTTGAGGTAGGGAAGTGGAGTCACACTACAGAATACAGAGAGGGCTGTCAGGGGACAAGACCTCCGGACTCCGGCCACATAGAGCCCTCATGCCTGGAAGGAAAGTGAGCATCAGGCCCTTCTTCTCCTCTCCTCTGTTGGAATCTCTCCAGGTATCAGATTGAAAGAACGATGAAAAGGCATCCCTGCTCTGCATCCCTGTGTCTCTATTTTCCTCCACCACCCCTCACGGCACCTGTGCAAGGAGCAAGTCCACATCAATAATGCAGCAGCCTCCAGGCAGCAGCCTCCGGGCTTGGCCCTGAACCTGTAAGACACTGAACAAAATAGGAAATCTGCCTGTTTTCAGGTCCATCTTTGGACACGATCATCTCTCATGCTCTACAGTGTGAATTTTCACTAGTTGGGTTGAAGCACTCATTTATTTTCCGTATCCTGAGCTTTCTAAAAAAGATGGAAGCAAACATTAGGAAGAAATCCAACAGCAAGAATCCTTCAGTGCCCAGAATAATCACTGCCTTTTATGGAGCACTTACCAGGTGCCAGGCACTGGGCACATGCTTCACAGGCATTGTTTCATTTCATCTTGACTATATTGCATGTTCCAGGCATTTTAGCTCCCATTTTACAAATGAGAAAACTGAGGCTCACAGATGTAGAATTTACTCAAGGTGACACCGTTCATAGGTGGTAGATTCAGGATTGGAGCCCAGGTCTACCCTGTATCTCCTTGAAAGCATCTCAAGCATGCAGCATCTCCTTTCTTGAAAAATTACAAACATATCTCACCACATCCAGCTCTAGACAGTTTTGATGCCATTGTCCTTGGAAGCTTAATTACATGATTACTCGAGATCTCTTATAGACTTTGACATTACCAATATCAACTGCACTCCTCAGCCCAACCCAGCCCTCATTATCTCAAGCCAGGGAGCACAGTTTAATTCTGCAAAATCAATAGGACACATGGTTGGGCAGAAAAAATGGGGTATACGAAAGCACTTTGTAAACTGCAAAGGTATATAAAATATTATTAAACTCATCCTAAGACATAAGTCAGGAGTATGAGACTCTAAAATGTTAGTTAAATTAATATGACCAGCAAGGCCACACATCTGGTAAGGTCAAAACCACTAACTTCTCAGCCAATGATGTTTGGGGAAAATATGAGACTGCTTCTTTCTGCCTGAGAGCTCTAATCACACAGTATGTTTATTGTCTACATGGTACTCACCCAATTAGAAAAAAAGTGAAAAATTCAGCTGATTTTGCCAGGTTTTGTGGGCTTGACACAATGCCAAGTAGCAGTAGCCAGTCTCATCAATTTTCTCAACTGATTTGACATGTTATTTTGGTATATGAGTTGACAGAGCTGGAGGCAGAAAATTCTAGGGGAAGTACCAACTCTAAACAATTAGGACAATGTCAGTATGTGGAAAGTAAGTAGGGTGGGAGTGAACAGTAAAGATTTTTCAAAGTTCTTAGTGAAGTTTGCTTAGACATCAGCTATAATGCCAATATAATAGACATTTTATCAGCTTAAAAATCAAGATGAAAAACTGAGATTGCAATAGGAAATACTTTGTCTAGAAATGGCAACAAGCCAAAAGGGTGCGAGTATAGAGAGGGGAGATCACAAAAATAGGAGGAAAAGAAAATGAGGGGTATGATTCTGTACTCCCCTAATTGGCAGTTGGTCCCAAACCACTTTACTGTGGTGACCTGAGAAGTCTTTCCACATTAGTCACACCAAAACACAGAAAGACCAGAGTTTCCTGATCTGCCTTCAGCACTAACAGTACCATCAATTGCAGCAAAAGAATCACACACCTTCACTTCAAATCATGGCAGGCAAAATTCCATTTGCTTTACCTTTCAAAAGAGCACAAAGGCAGTGTAACTCATTCAGAGCTCATGGTAAAGAAAACTGCCCCATTAGACAAGCTCGCAGAGCCTTGCAATCTAAGCCAAATAAAAAGGCAGCAGTCATTCAGGCGGGGCTGGTGAGTGGGTAAATCAAGTGGTGACAAAGAAACAAGCAATTTTGACCCATGTCTTTTTGTGCAGCAAAAGGCTGAGTATCCTGCTAGCAGCTAGCAAATAATAAGTAGCAAGAGTTGAAGGCAAATTTTGATGCTCTTTTTTTCATTCTAAGCTGATTTAGAGGCTGAGAAAGTAGCAGAGAATGTAAACGTTTTGGGGTAAAATTCAGTGGCCATATTATAGGGATATATTGACAGTTAAGACCTAATAACATAAGGGGGGAAAGGTATTTCCATCTGAGAGTACTGAAACCACCAGCATTTCTACCCTCAAATAACATTGCTGTGCATTTCTTCCATGCCATTCTTACAAGAGACAAGAAACGATGTGTCTTCCCATTGTACAGAACTGAAAATGAAGTTATGGAGTGTTTTCTTTCTCCCCTGGGATCACAGTAGTATACCATGCTGGTGCTTCATCCAGATGTTCGTGTATCTCCTTCTACAGATTCCCCATTCACCACTCTCCCTTCCCCAACCCAGACTGTATGTGGATATAAGAAAGTCCATGATATGGTTTGCCTGTGTCCCCACTCAAATCTCATCTTGAATGGTAGCTCGCATAATTCCCATGAGTTATGGGAGGGACCTGATGGGACACAATTGAATCATGTGGGTGGTATCCCCCATATTGTTCTCATGGTAGTCAATAAGTCTCACAAGATCTGATGGTTTTATAGGGGGAAACCCCCTTTGCCTGGCTCTCGTTCTTACTTGTCTGCCTCCATGTAAGACAAGCCTCACCTTCCGCCATGATTGTGAGGCCTCCCCAGCCATGCGGAACTGTGAGTCCATTAAACCTCTTTTTCTTTACAAATCACCCAGTCTTGGGTATGTCTTTATCGGCAGTGTGAAAATGGACTAATATAGTCCAACTCACTTGCCTTGAGTTGAGACATCACCGAGGCACAACTTCCATTCCATAGCTCCCCTGTAGATCATGCTGCAGCATGACAAATGAGGGGGTTTTGCCTGAGATCATTCCATAACTCAGCTTCTTCCCTTCCCCATCCTGCTTCCTGCACTTCCTTAGCAATGTTCCCAGGGAGCACTTCTTTTAATAAGTCCCTTGTATACTAATTCTCACTTCAGGGTCTGCTTCTGGGGAACCAACCTAGACAATCAAAATAGCAAATTTTATCAAAGTTATCTGTATCACTCAGGTTAGGCTAAATTACATTATGAAAATATACAAACCTCAAAAATTGCAGTGGTTGGACATAATAGAGAACTACCTCTTGCTCATACTACCCGGCCATTGAAAGTAGAGAGGGGCTCTCTGCTAACATTAGTCACTTAGAGACCCAGGCTGACCGAGTCACCATTTTGAACACTGCTAGTCACCATGAAAAAAATAGAGATTGGAATGCTCGTGTCAGCAATAAGTGTTCACTCAGAACTGACATATACCACTTCTGCTCACAACTCCCTAGCCAGAGCTAATTTTGTGGCCCCATCCAACTAGAAGAGAGTTTGTCCTGCTAAGTATAAGTAAGTGTAATATCACCTTAAGCCAGAATAAGGAAGAACTTCACTAATGGCTACTGCAGCAAATCAGAGCTTAGACCCCTAATCTGTTACCTCCTTGTGAAACATGCTTTGGTTTTCATGAATATCAATTTAGCTCCAAAATCTATTTACTTTCTACTAGAGATTACATGGTTGGTTGGAGAAACCAGGAGCTGAAAAATGTCACTGTTATTCCAGCTTAATATGGAGCTCTTAGGTAATCCATGGTCAATGCTACAGTTCCTCCATATGCAAAATGAACTGACAGCATTACTTTATGTGTTCTTTCACTTTGGTCAAGATAAAATAACTGGTACAGAGCTATGTGTCCTAGTGCAAACATTTTTGAAACTAAAAAATATTCATATTAAATAACTGCTTTCAAACACTGGACAGCAGGCAGTAAAGGACTGTAATCCCTGATCC
This sequence comes from Homo sapiens, assembly GCF_000001405.40. Lineage (NCBI taxonomy): Eukaryota > Metazoa > Chordata > Mammalia > Primates > Hominidae > Homo > Homo sapiens. Next base: position 29,837,028 of record NC_000002.12, read on the forward strand.
CACTGTGAACACAGACATCCCCCTCAACTTTTGATAGAGAGGTATTATGAACTAGAAGTTGTCCTCTGTTGTTTTAAACCACTGATATTTTGAGAGTTGTATGTTTCACAGTATAACTTAGCCTATCCGGAATTATACAGATAATTTTCTGTAGGGAAACAGATAAGGTAAGGCATGGAATTGACCTCATTTTCTATCTGGAGGCACTTGTTGGAGAGTGACATCACAAAAGAAGGCCAAAACATGGTCTTGCTGAGGCCAGGGAAGAGATATTGGGATTTGGAGCTACTGAGGTGCCTGGAATTTGTAGGATATGGCACCAGAAAGAAGGGAGCAGTGCAAACAATGAGATCTACATATGTGCATAGGTATTCCCTTGAGTCTTTGGCTGAATACTGTGCTGCACATGTGCAGTATAAGACTTCACAGAGCCAGGAAAATATCTACTAGAGAAAGAAAAATTACCAAAGATAATTGCTCCCATAACTGCAAGATACTGTACCCCAATCTACTGGAGATGGCACAAGACTGTGGAGAATCCTCGATAAATTCATAGAAGCCCCAGAAAGTCCATGCTTAGGAGTAGACCTAAACTAGCCCTAGGTTAAAGACTACTTTAGATCATCTCTTTAAAAGCTTAAAAGCAAGCTTCAAAAGGACTAAACTGATTCACAAGTAAATTGCCTGCCAGAACAAAATTCAACTATTTATTAAGGAAGACAATACAACCAAGGCAGTCAATAATGTAACACCAATAATGTCTAGCATACAATCAAAAATTACCAGATAGGCAAAGAAGAAAGAAAATGTGACTCATTTCCAGAAGAAAAGCCAGTCAATAGAAACAAATCAGAACTGATAGAGAAGAATTGATTAGCATTCATTTAAATGACTTTAAAATAGGTATTGTAAGTTGTTCATATATTTAAGGGAAAATATGAATTTAATAAAGAAACAAAGAAACAATTACAATGGAGAAATGGTAAGCAAAAAAATTTTAAAAAGAATCCATCTGCAATTCTAGAACAGAGAAATACAATATCTAAAATGAAAAGTTCACTGGATGGGCTTAACAACAGAGGACACTGCAGAAGAAAAGATTAGTGAACTTGAAGAGCAGTCATAGGAACTATCAAAACTAAAGAGTAGAAAAATGTTAAAAAGGAAAAAAAGGAGCAGAGCCACAGTGATCTATGGAAAAATATTAAGCAGTGTAGCATACATGTAATTGGCCTAAATAAAAGTGAGACAAAAAGTTGGGTCAGAAAAATTATTTTTGAAAATAGTGTTGATTATTTTCCCCAAATTTGATGAAAAATACAAATCTACAGATCTAAGAAGCTCAATGAAACCCACACATGATAAATACAATGATGGCTCTACCAGGGCACATCATAATCAAATTGTTAAAAACTAATGATAGAAAGATAAAAGATTTGTATAAAAATGTTTATAGCAACTCTATTCATAATAGCTACAAACTGGAAATAATCCAGATGTCCATCAACAGGAGAATGCACAAACTAATGGAATAACCATACAATAGAATACTATAAATAAAAAGGAACAAACCACTGATCGAGTCAACAATGTGTATGTATCTTTCAGATATTATGATAAGTGGAAGAAGCCAGACATGCAAAAGTACATCTGTGCCATTTCACATATATGAAGTTCTAGAACAGACAAAAGGAACCTGTGGGTGAAAAATGAATAACAGTGTTTGCCTCTGTAGAGGAGATTACTGGCAAGGGGCATGAGGAACCTTTCTGTGATGATAGAAATATTATATATCTCAATAGGGAAGAGGGTTATGCAGGTGCATGCAGTTGTCAAAACTCATCCTACTGGACACAAAAGATAAGTGTTTTCATGGTATATAAATTATTTAAATTATTTTTGAATAAAAATGTTTAAAAGTTATTTAAAAGGCACAACCCAACAGCTTATGTATAATATACTTTAATGTTTTAAGTAGATACTGGCATCACTTTTACCACCCAAAATGACTTCCCTATATGCTTTCTGATGCCTAAAGTTACACTGATAATTATTTATATATTCTGAAGTTCTAGGCCTGGTAGTCTGCAAAGGGCTCTTAAATTGGTCCCATTGAAAACCATTTCCACCTTAGTGCAAATTAGTTTATCTGTTTCTTTTCTAAGAATGTGTTTTTGAGGAGATGGCTGGGTCAAATTCCATGGGGGTCACAGGAGATAGATTTTCTTGCGTGTTCTAATCTCCCTTCAATAAACAAATATTATTTATATAATAAGAAAGATGAGTAAGTTTTTTTAAGTACCTAGAGATGCCGGATGACTGGCAGAGGGGAGGACCCAGTGAGAGAGAAAACTGGTAGAAGAATGAGTGGCTGAGAATTCCAGGAAACAAATCTCATCATCTTCAAGATTTCACATAACTGCCTTCCAATTCAGACCAGCAAAGCATTAGGATAATTGCGGCAATTTTCTACACAGGGAGACATGGCAAGGTATCTTTATGGAAATTTCAGAGTCAGGATGAATACATTAAGTGATCACAACACAAGCTTTTTGTTCATGACAAAATGGTTGTCTCGCCATTCCCAGCCCTTGGCACATTCTCTCTTGCTTCCCTCCTTTGTTTGTGTCCCTTCTTCTGCGTTCTCTGGAATGACCTTTTCTTTATCTCTGCCAATAGAAAATTCTCTTATCCTTAAATGGTCCAGGGTCATTCCCCACAAAGCCTTTGCTGAGTGCTCCCTTCTCTGGATTTCTGTGGCTCTTGGTGTCTCTTCTGTGAGATATATTATGACTTGGTGTTGTGTCGCTCTGTAATAATGATAATGATATAATAATAATTGTGAGTTTACTACACACTACTCATAGTGCTGAGCACTTTACACACATCAGCTCATTTAATCCTTACAGTCATGCTCCAAGGTAGGCAGCATTAACACAATTCATAGAGGAGGAAACTCAGGTTTAGAGAAGCCAAATTATTTGCTCAAGACAAAGCTAGTCTACTTAGCAAATCTGAGATTACAGTGCAAAGCTGTCTAAATCTATAGCTTTTATTCTTAACTGCTACGTTATACCGCCTCCTTGACATATATGTCTCATATATCCTAAAACAAACAAAAACAAACCCAGAAATCTATCTCTTTCTTTTAAGTCACTTACTATGTGACAGGCAGAGTATTCAGTGTGCCTTGAGGGAAGGGGCAATATCTTGTACATCTTTGTATTGCCTCCTGCATTTAACGTGGTATCTGGCAAATAGGTACATGTCCTACAAATGCTTGGAGAGATAAAGAGATAGATAATCCCACTGCAAGACTCTAGTTCTTTCCACAGTTCCAAAATGTGGATTCCTAGAACTTCAAGCAACTGAAATGAAAGAATAAATGGATAAAGACAAAGCTCAGTTCCCACTTCAGTCTAGTAACAGTTAGTAATTCAAACATATTCTCAATATTGTCTATAAATCATCTGGTTTTGCTTAGTTTCTTGAATTCCTTTCTGTTCTAAAATCTATGAATCTAATTCCTTTCCCTTTGCATCTCAGAAATCTTTCTATGTCTCTTTTCAAATGTGTTTTCTGTTGAAAGATTACAAAGAAAAACTATGGCTGCAGTATGGCTATATGAGATCTTGAATTCGGGAAAGAAAGAATTTCAGACTTTCACACATACTGTGTCACTAAAATTTGAAACATTAAGTTATTGCATCTATTAATAACTGAACATTTACATGGCACATTGTAGTATGCAAAATACTTCTATTGCATTATCTTATCTGACCTTCACACTTTGGAGTAGACAAGGCAATTTGGATTATCCCAATTTTACAGATTTAAGAAAACTGAGACTTGGTGAAGTGATTTGCTATTAAATAAAGTCAAGATTTCAATCTAAGTCTTTTAGATACGGCTACTGTTATCTTTTCACCCTCACTATACTGTCTTAACTCAATGGCCATCAAACACTGCAGTCACCGCTCCAAGTATTACTCTAAGAATCATTTTGTTAGCCTTGTGTTAGGGGATAGGATTAACTCTTCTCCCTTTGAATAAATCATATTCGGCCAGATTTTTCTGAATGTGGTTTCTATCAGTTATAGTAACAGAAGATTTTACCTTAAAAGGTCTTAAAAAGCCAAACTCCCACTACCCTAACATTACCCCCATCATTTAAAAAAAAGACAAAATAATGCCTAGAGATATTAAGCAATTTTTTCCAAGATAACATAGTGAACAGAATCAAGTCTTGAACATATCCAACATGCAAGTGTTTTATAAAGCTCTATCATCAGCTAATTCTAGAAGAGATACTTCCGGTCAAGACACTGGCTTGTGTTCAGAAAGAAACTTAAAGCTAATCTAATCCAAGTTTCCTTAATGCAGCAACTGCTTCTATTGCATTCATGGCAGGTGCTCTTCCATTTGCACCTTTATCATATGAATACAGTCTTATCAGTTTGTATGTTAGAGAAGGATAATAACCAGTACTGCCATTACAGTTGAACATCTTGATGTCTTCCACCAAATTTTGCTCAGTGTTCTTGGGAGCCCTCTATTGGCCTTCTGGGTAATAGCAGGCAGCCTCTGCTGGGGGCTGCGCTCCGTGAGTCCTGGGGAGTTACAATGAACAAGAGCCTTAGTGCTGTCTGAAACACAAAGGGGAGTGAAGAAATCTGTTTGCCAAATTGAAACGGGCAGAATTGACAATGAAATAAACTTCCATTTCTTCATCTTCCAAAAATACCCATCGAAACTAGTTTATCCAAAAACAAAACTCTCTGTTCTGAATCAAGGCCTTATCTGACCCTTCTTCATGGAAAACTTAGCCAATAACTGTTCCTTGACCCTTATGCCTTTGACCTACCTCATCCTCCACTCTTACCCCAGCCATGGTACACAGTGTAATGACGTATAGGCTATGCAGGTCCCTCCTGAAAACTAACGTTCCCTTCTCCTTTCCTTCCTCCATCCTCCTCTTCACTCCTCTTTTCTACCTTCTTCCTCTCCTTCCTTCTCTCCCTCCCTCTTTTTCTCCATCCTCCCCCCTCCTTCCTTCCCTCCTTCTCTTTTTTCAAACCAATTTTCATCAGAAGCTAGAAAGTTGACTTTGAAGGAGAGCCTGCCTTAAGAAGCCTGTAGTGTGATAGGTTAAATATGGCAGATACATCTATGACCATCCTAAAAAAGAAAAAATATATATTATATCTATGAAAGACCCGAGGAGAGGTTCTGGCTAGATTCTCATGGTTGCAACGAACAGATATTTGTTTGAGTGACTTCAAGTAACAAGGGATTTATTGGAAGGAATACAAGAAAAGCCCCACCGTCACACTTCAGAAAAAGCAAGAACTGGACGAAGAATCTGAATCTGGGGGTGTTCTTGGGCTGTACTGACCATCATTCTCAGGCTTTACCAGGGCACACAGCTATATCCCACATGTCTGTTCTTCTTCCCACTTGACAATGAACTTTCTCACCAACTACCCCACACAGTTACCACTTCACTCTCCAAGGATAAACACTCAAGTTCCCAGGTTAGTTATGGTTAAGGGGCAGTGAAGACTCTGGACAGTTCTCAATTTAGTGACAGCTGATTACCTCCAGGACCCATAGCATGGACCACAGGCTGGGACTGGACCACATGGAGATGGAGGATAGTAAGAAAGGACTGAGCAGGCAGGGCTCATTTCTATCAGAGCAGCTTTGTCATGTGCCTGCATTGGACTGTGTAGACCTAACAACAGTAGTGTGTACTGAGCTCCTGGGGCTGCGCAAACATCCATTCCAGCACCTGGTTCCACCAACATTCCTCTCTTGCAGGTGGGGAAATGAGTTGCAGGTGGGAAACTATAGGCTTCCCATCTTCCTCGGATGTTTCTGTGGCAGGATACTGAAAGGAAGTGGAGGTTGGAGCAAATGCTCTAGCATAAAGGACAGAGGAAATGAGAACAGGGAATGCCCACAGCTTCTCATCCTTGTGAGGTGAGGTTCTCCCCACTGTATGAAGTCCCCAGAACGCAGCTGGACCAAATGGCAGGGGCAGAGTGAGCAGGTAAGGGTGATTGGGTAAGAAAAATATTGGGGCTTGAGACTTCAGTAATACCAATATTAGGTTGTGTTCATGGAGAGGAGGGGAATATCAATGGGGATGAGGGGAAAAGACCCACCAGCTAGAAGGGGTCTCGGTGCCCCACTACCATGCAGAGTCAATTTCAACTATGAATCAGAATTATTGGTAGTGAAATTTTGCCCTACTTTACACCTACTCCCACATACGGGGCACACATATACACATAAAATTTCCTCCAAGAGTTGTGTGTGTGGTGTGTGTGTATGGTGTGCGTGTGTGTCACATTCTCTACTTAGGTTGCGAGGGTACCTGTGCAACTGCTGGAAGAAAAGAAGGAAGGAGGAAGAAAAGAAGAAAGGGAGGCAGGAATGATGGCAGGAATTATGAAAGGACAGAAATGTAAATGTGATCATATGGATGGCTGCTGATGGATATGGTTATCATATACTCCTGCAGCCTGAGGGTGGGCAGAGTGATGTCCAAGTTCTGCCTGACGCTGAATTCATTGAAGGGGATTTCTATTGTAGAACCCTGGCCAACAGCTTTGCAAAGACCAAAGTGGTCATTGATTTACTTAAAGGACAAAACCTCCCATAATTTGTCAGTAAAATGGATGCAAGCAAAAAATTGTCACTTTTCAAAACCAGAAGTTAACAGAACAAAATCTCTGGGACCATGGAATGGGTTGCTTTGATATATAGGGAGCATTCATAATCAATGATCATACTCTCACCCTACGCGAAGTTACTACTGAGCACTTACTGTATGCTGAGCACATTATTAGGCACCAAAGATCCAGCACCTGCCCTCATGAAACTTGCTGTCTAGTGGGGGAAGCCAGGCCTTAATTAATTAATCTCAAAAACAGAGGTAAATTTCAACTGTGACATACGCTTTTGAAAGAAACGTCTACAGTGCTATGAGAATACAGGATGGATAATCTGACATATAGGACTTGGTAAAGGGCATAGAATGGATGATCTGTTGTATAAGTTCTGGAAAAGGAGGTGAAGGAAATTTCCTTGAGGAAGTCACCCCGGAACTGCTATCTGAAGGATAAGAAGGAGTTGTCTGGACAACAAAGGAAAAAAGACATTTTAGGGAAAGAAAACAACGCATGCATATGCCTTGTGGAAAGCAGGGGTGGGTAAGAGCAAGAACTCTCAGAGGTGCTGTTGCGTGGCTAGACCAGCAGCAGATGGGGGCAGAGAGAATGAGCAGTGCCCCCCGGGGCCAGTGGGGAGCAGGTGCAGATCATGTACCTCGTGTGCCATTTTAGGGAATATTTTACCTTATCCTAAGAGCAAGGTGAGACAATGAACAACAGGATTTAAATAGGTATTCAAGGAACAGTTATTAACCATATCACACATAAGGGGTACCAAGGACATAAAAAGGCCTGTAAACCTCTGATATAGTAGGTGAAATGTTACTTGAATCTCCATTTGTGCTTTTTCTCTGGGGTTAGGTCCATAGCTGTTATTAGATTCCCAAAGGAGTTCACAATCTTCTGAAGGTTAGAACCATTGTCCTGGTTCTTAGGGGAGGAGACTGGAGACTGGATGATTTCTTACTACGTCACTTCCATTTCTACGATTCATGAGCCGAAAACCAACCCAGATCCATCCAAGTGACTGACAAACTAAGGTTTACTGTCATCAGCAGGGAAATTAGAGCCAAAAGTTTAAAAGTATGTGTTTGATGTTGCTAGCAGCAGAGATGAGCTGAGAATGCAATCACCTTCACCCTGATAACCCCCCTGCACACACACACACACACACACACACACACAGAGGCACACACACACAGTACACACACTGCTCATCCTACAGAAAGGCTCCTCACAGGCTGTGGACCTCAACTCTTTGAGAAGCTTATCACTGGGGGTTCCGGGGCTGTCGTCTAAGGCCCAAGAGCATTTTCATAACCAACCCAGTCTCAGCCCAGTCCCAGGGGGTTATGGATGTGAGTTTACTCATTTCCTGTCTCCAGGCACTCCCTTGTCCTGCTAGCAAAATGAAAATAAAGCAAGTGGATCAGGGCTAACATAGGCACAGTTGACACTCAATGATTTGAGTCACTGGAGGGGATCATCACCATGAATTATCACGGGCACAAGTGCTGAATCACAGATGCTACTGATCCCTCAGGCTCACACAAACCCTGGCTTCTTCTTCAACAGTGATTCCCAAAGGGTGTTCCCTGGCACTTTAATTCTGGGGGATGTTAATAGGGACTCTGTAAATAAATAAGGTTTCACGGTTAAGTAAGCTTGGGACATGTTGGATTACAAAAGGTGAGACAGGTGTCTTTGCTGCAAGGCTTCCTCAACCTTTAACGACATTTTTTTTTTTGAGACAGAGTTTTGCTCGTGTCACCCATGCTGGAGTGCAATGGCACTATCTCAGCTCACTGCAACCTCCACCCCCCAGGTTCAAGCGATTCTCCTGCCTCAGCCTCCCAAGTAGCTGGGAGTACGGGCATGTGCCATCATGACCGGCCAATTTTGTATTTTTAGTAGAGACAGGATTTCACCATGTTGGCCAGGCTGGTTTCAAACTCCTGACCTCAGGTGATCCACCTGCCTCAGCCTCCAAAAGTACTAGGATGACAGGTGTGAGCCACTGTGCCCGGACACATTTTTTAACCTTGGAGAATAAAATCTAGTTTACCATTTCCCCAAACTTTTGGAAGACTCCCAGAAACCTTTGGTTGAGGAGCACCTCTTGGGTGCTGGTGCTCCAAGACAGATTCTGGGAACTGTGACTCTCCACAGCACTCTTAAAAAGTGTCTGTGCTCCAGTTCATGCCAGGGTTCTCTGTAGCACAATGCACAACTTTATTTCCCATCCAAGGTTCATACTAAATCCTGCCTCATGAAGGAAGCCTTTTCCAGTGGTCTGGTCTATATCATATAGTGCTATAGTGTGGCCCATACATCTGGCCCATGGTTATAAAAAAGAAATCTGGTTTTGGGCTTGGGAGTGTGATGTTCTGTGATCAGCAGGCTCTCATAATCTGGCCCTGCCAATCTCTCTGATCTCACCTGGAATTGGCCTCTCCCAGGCCAGTTACCCTGAACTCCTGTCTGTTTCTTGAACACACCACGCTGGTTCTAGGATCTGGTTCTAGGATCTGGCCCTTGGCACTTGCCCCCCCACCTGACCGCATAGCCAGTTCACGCTGACTGGCTCCTTTATTAACCACTGGAACTCAACAGCACCCCTCCCCAAATTTCCTACTGTCCTAGAACCCCGTTTTATTTTCTTCACAATACTCATCACTATATAAAATTGCCTTGTCCATTTATTTACACACTTATTGTCTGTCTTCCTTTCAAGAATATTAGCTCCATGAGAACAAGACCTTGTCTAGGATGATCCTTGTCTAGAGCCTGGCACGCAGCAGGCATGTAAACATTTCTTGAGTGAATGAATGCTCTCAATGAGTTCTTGCTTATAACTTTTATAAAGCAGAGGAGTCTACTTGGTGGTAGAGACTCTGGTCAGTGCTGTACCAAAGTCCACCTCCTCCCCCGGGCATTGAAAGATTTTTCAAACTGCAAGAAAGCAATACCATCCTCCTCCAGAGATTGTCAAAAGTCTGGCAACTTCCTTACTGGATAACTGCTAAGTAGCACTACTATTATCATATTAGCCACACTTGTTGAGTGTTTACCATGTGCCAGGATCTATGTGAAGCCTTTTACATACATCTTTTGATGCTCACCAGAGATTCTATGAGATAGGTTCTATTATTATTCCCATTTTACAGCAGAGAAAACACAGCTCAGAACAGTCAGGTTATTTGGCCCGCACCTATAAGCAGATCTGTCTGACTCCAGAACTAGAATCTTGCTGAGCTATAGAATTTGTAAACACACGTAAAAAGGAGCTTGTAAAGTAAAAAATGGCCCTGCCACAGTTGCCATCACCCCTGCAGGGAAACGTGAAAGGAGGTCCAGGTGGCCTCCACCAGCAAAAACACAGAGAGGAATCTCACTGTGGGTTGGATGTGGTTTAGGGATTGCCAAGAGAAGCCGTGTTCCCAGGGGCTCCTCCCTTCCCTCCACGATACCTCGGTATTCTCATCTATGAATAGGCAGCCCCTTCTTCTAGAGGTGACCATAATGAGCTGCTCACCACACAGTTGGCAAAAGTACTATCAGGAAAGTCGGGGAATAGGGTGGTGGTAGGGACGTGTTGACCCAGGACCTCTGGACCTGGGCTCCTATCTGCACTGGAGATGAAACTGCCTGAGGCCCAAGGAGTTGAACAAATGCCCCAGGAGCTATGAGATGCCTAGAAACCAACAGGGGATTTTAATAAAAGCAACTTGCTGATCAGGTACATACTTAATGTTATAATTACCCCGTGATGACAGCGTTGTGAAGTACAGACAAGCAGGAAGTACTGACCAAGCAATTTTAAAAGGTTGGTCTAATGCTCTTCATTTTTCACTAAAGCCTAAATTGAGTTTGTGCTTTCAGGGAATAATGAAAAAGACAGAAAGGTGAACATGACAATCTAGTTCCAAGAGCCCTAGATTGAAAAAAGAACGGGAAAATAGGTGGATTTTCCTCTGAAGCCAAAGAATGGCATTCATTCATTCATTCATTCGTTTATAAACTTTATAGAATGGTGTTCCATGACAGGCACTGTGCTCAATGATGAAAACATTGGCAGGGGAAGGGGTAAAAAAAGAGAGAAAGGAGAAGAGAAATGAGAGAGCGTAGGAAGAGGACAAGAAGGAGAGGGAAGATGAAGCAAAGGAGGAAGGAGAGGAGGATGAGGGTGGGGGAGGTGTAAGAAGGAGAAGCAGAGATGGGAAAGAGTCTCAGCTTTGATACGCTCATTGTCTAGTGGCGAGACAAACTTCTGGCTCCAAAAAATAGGCCCAGCTAGGGAGCCAGCTGGACTTAAATCCCCCCATAAGTGGCAGGGATTTCCAAGTATCCAAAAAGTGCTCTCTTGGCTGCTGGTGAGGCTCGGTACGCAGCTGCCAGGGTCCCTGGGGGATCAGGGGCAGCGGGTGTGAATAGGTCTTAGTGCCTCTGGGAGGAGGAAGTGGGGAGGCTTTTCTTCCCAACCACCTAAGCAGTACAGTGGGACTTCAATTCTGATGTCAGTGCGAAAGGCAAAAATTGATATTTTGAATTGCATAGATTCAAAACTATCCTTGAAAATCCCTTAAATTCCCCCAGAACATGCAGCCTGCATGTTTCATGCTGACCACCTTGTTCAGGAAGGCTTTTTTTTTTTTTTTAAACTAGCAAGTTTGAGAACCACTGAGCTAGACTTAAAGGAAGGAAGGAAATGAACATGTGTATGCAGATATGTGCTTTCTAACCATACCACCTTCAAGGTAATTACCAAACTGCTGGATAAGTAGAGAATTCTAAAGTGTTTCTGCTAGCCTGCAGGGCTTTTCGCATAGTGTTTTAATACCTAGCCTGTAAAACCTTAATAAATGTTAATGAATTTGTGTATTGTTGAGGGTTACCCAGGATGGAAAGAGGGGTAGGCTCTCTGGTTTGTGGAAAGGGAGAGGCTTCCAGCAGGTCTCAGCTCTGAGCTTCCTGTGGCTAAATTCTGGAATGGGTGCCAGGAGGGTGAGGTGGGGGCTATGTCGCTCTGAAGGCTAGGTGAAGGTCTTGAGCACATATCCTGCGGGCTGTTGGCAGAAGCTGACTTAGGAGACCGGCTGGGGAGGAAAGTTGAGCTCACATAGAATGCACAAGTCAGGACTGCAGAGATGCGGCCACGAGGGACCCCAACAGCAGCAAAGCTGCAGATTCTAGAGTGCGAAATATTGATTCAGGCAGCTCTACGTGGACTGATTGGCCACAATGTACTCCTAGGGTTTGTGTTCCCAGGACAGCCCAGAGACACCTCTCCCCTCCCCATAGTCTCACCTGCCCTTGGCAGTGTCCCTGACCTTCTGACTTACACATCTCCATGCACACCAGGAGCGTCCTCGAGCTGCCCCCCATCTCACAGGACCCGCCTGCTCTTCCCACCTCTCTAAGCATCACCTTCCTGAGGGCCCCACTCGGGCCCCTCCTCCTCAGAAAAGCTGGGCTTCCCCACCAGCTGCTCTGGGGACCGCTCACTGTCTGCTGTCCCTTCTGTTTAGCTATGCTCACTTGGCAGTATTCAAGTGTCACAGTGGCAGTTAGAGCACAAATTCAAGCCCACCCCTGGCTTTGAATGTCCCCTGACTAACTGTATAAACCTGGGACACCACTCAGGCAGCTGTGCCTCAACTTCCCCACCTGTGCATGTGGTAAGAAGAGGGACTACCCACAGAGCTGTGGCAGAATTACAGGAGGCAGGAGGCGGAACATGCTGAGATGGTGCCTGATGTTGGCCTAAGTGCTCGGCCAAATGTGTTTCAGAAGATCCTCAAGGGGAGGATGTCACACCCCACTGTATTCTCAGGGCCTACGTGGCACCTCATAGATTAACAGGAAACACAGACACTTTATTATATCAGAAACTCATTCATTCAAGAAACATTTACCAAGTGTCCACACCAAGCCATCTTTAAAAATGAACAAGATACATTTCCTGCCCTTCACAGGCTCTGGAGGGCAATCTACCTTGGCCAGTTTTGCTGGTACCTGGCTGTCAGCACCTGGTTGCAGTGGTGTCCCTTAGCTTAGGCCCTCTGAGGAAGAAGAGGAGTGGGGAGGAAGCAGGGGAAGAAGGGGAGAGGAGAGGGGAGGAGGGAGGAGAGAGGTGGCTCTCTGGTAGTGCCCTCCCCCCTCATCCCTCCAATCTCGTGGTGCCAATTTTTCATTTAGTATTCTTTTTTTATTTGTTTCCATTGTCAAACACACATACAACAGAGTACAACAGTTTTAGAGGAGAGGAAATTAGTGACAATAAGGGGAATCTGAGCAAACTGAAAAGGAAGACCCAGGTCAAAGTTTAAAATGCAACAAAATGATAGCCCCAAACTGCAAACTACCAAAATGCCCATTGACAGTAGAACAAGACAAATCAATGGCAGTGTATACACGTCACCTGATGGAATATCACACAGCAATGAGGATGAATCAATCTACAACTACAGGCAACACTGTGGACATAGCTCACAAACATCACGCTGGGAAGCTAGAAACCAAAGAGCCCATAGAAGACAAAAAGCAGCAAGTTAGAAGTCGGGACTGGTTCCCTGCAGGGAGGGCAGTGCCAGATGAGGAATGGCAGAGGCGGGGGCACTTCCGGGTGCTGGGAATGTCCTGTTTCTTGATCATGATGTGGGGAGGCAGGGGGAACATAGGTGTGTTCATTTGAAAAAAATTCTTTGTGCTATGCACTTAAGGTTTATGTAATTTTTTCTATGATTGTTATACTTCTATAAAAAGGTTTAAAAACAAGGGCAAAGCCAGCAACTCTCAGGGATGCCCCAGAGCCTGATAAAGAGACTGAACAGGGAATTCTCATTGGCAACTGCAGAAAAAGGCCTCAATCCCTTGCATGAGGCCTCCCAAAAGGGACCTTGGCCACAACCTCAAGGATAGCTTCATTTGGGGTCAAGATAGTCTGGGGTCTATGCAGCCAGGCTCGGGGGTGTTTCCTCTCCCTAGACTTGGTTGTACCATCTGGTCTCAGCTGTGCCTCCCAGTGTATTTTGTAGTACTTCCCAAGGGAACTGTTCCCCGGGAATACAGAGAAATCCTTTGCTCATCTCTGCCCCTGTGCTTTCTCCCAAGCCCTTTCCTCGTCCAGGAAGCCTGGTCTGGCTGCCCCAACACTTCTTTAGCTACCCACCCTCTAAGCCACTGCCACAACCAGCCCTGCCCCCGGGGGACTTAACCTGGAGATGCCTGGCACCCTTCACCGGTGCCGGTGTGTGCGCCTTTGTCTTGTCCTCTCACCCAGCTTCTCAATCCCCTGAAAGGAGTTGCGTAACTTTCTGCCTCCTTCATAGTGCCTAGCACAGTGCCAAACACATAATTTGTGTTTAATATATATATTCAAAGACTTCCCCAATAGTTGCATTGTGCCTTCTCCCGAATTAGAGTGTAAGCTCTAATTAAGACAATTAACTGCCCTTATTGGATTGTAAGGAAATGTTTTAAAATTACAATAGCATGTTATTGACAGAAAAGGCCCTTCTCTGCTCCAAACCCCTTAATGGCTTTCAATTGACCAGAGCATAAACTGCAAAATCTTTTCCCCGGTTTACAAGGCCCCTCACAGCTGGCTGCTTCCTTTCATTGCCTTCTACACTTGCTCTTCCTTGGCTCCTACCACACTGGACTCATTTCAATTTCTCAAAAAGATGAAGCTGTCTCTTGCGCCAAGACCTTCCTCTGGGATGGTGTTCTGAATCTCGCATTCCCTTCCTCTTGGTCTGTCTAAGAGCTGATTATTTCTCAGATTTTATTAAAGTCATTTTCTCAGGAAGTGCTTTCCTGAATGCCTAGACCAGTTGTTCTCAAGCTTAGGTAGGAATCAGGCACTCCTGGAGGGCTTTTGGGCTCAGTAAGTCTAGGGTGGGGCCTGGAAGTCTGTGTTTCTGTCCAGCTCCCAAGTATTGCTGCTGCTGGTCTGGGAACCACACTTTAAGGACCACTGTCTAGACCAAGCAGCTCGCCTTATTCATCTTCCTCACCAGACACACTTCCATGAGAACAGGGGCCTGGCGGAATACATGCAAACAAATCCCCATTTCTACGACTCTGTTGTTACCAAAGCACCTTCACACCTGTGGTCTCTTTTGCTGCTTAAAACAGCTCTGGGAGAGGGTAGAGCAGGCATAGACTGCTCCTTCTTTACAGATGGACCAGCCAAGATGCAGAATGTCCAAGGGACTGGCCAAAAGAAGGTCAGCAGCAGTAAGTAGTAGAATGAGAGGTAGAACCTGTATTTTCTTATGTGCAGCCAAAGAAAAGTTTCTTCATATTATTACTCTGTTCTGGCCATATCTGCCTGCAGGGGAAGATAGAGAACGGAACAAAAACTCATCGATTTTTCTCTTCCGTTCCCTTAGATGCCAGCACAGGAATAAGAAACGAAGCCCCTATGTAGCGTTTATCCAATGACCTGTGGCACAGAGTTTGTTTCCTTGGAAGAGGCTATGCTAAGGTAGGTAAGGTGGTGATGGACTAATAAAGCTTGCAACTTCTTACATTTTCATGGCATGGCAGCCTTCCCCCAGGTGACAATCAGACAGCAGACAATGGGAGGTATAAGTGCAGAGGCTGTGAGCCATCTGTTCTGCAATGAAATCTGTGTGGCCCTCCTTAACCCCTTCAGACTCAAAAAACAGACTAGCAGCCCCACTCACCATTACCTACCAAGATGGGCCACACCAGCCAGACCTACAAGTAAGACAGTTGCTGACTATACTTTCAAAGGTGTGGGGAAGGGCCCCTCCATGCCATGAGACAGATCTCTCAATCCCAGCTGCAGTGGTTGGAATTGGATAAGCAGCCTGCCCAGCAGAGGATTCCAACAGTTCTGGAACCTTCCTCCACACCTATTCCCCCTCTCCTAGGTCACTTAGTTACAACTACTCCTGATGGTACACAATCTAATGGGTATGCCTGACAACTCCTATGGACCGAATGTTTGTGTACCCCCAAAATTTATATGCTGAAGCCTAAATCCCCAGTGTGATGGTATTTGGAAGTGAGACCTTTGGGAGGTGATTAGGTCATCAGGGTGGAGCCCTCATGAATGGGATTAGTGCCCTTAGAAAGGGATGAAAAGACCAGAGCTTTCTCTCTCTCTCTCTCTCTCTCTCTCTCTCTCTCTCTCTGCTCTCTACCATGTGAAGATACAACCAGAAGACAGCCATCTGCTAAGTAGGAAGCAGCCATCACTGGTGGACACTGTATCAGTCAACACCTTGGTTTTGGACTTCTCAGTATCCAGGACTGTGAGAAATAGATGTGGTTGTTTAGGGTACACAGTCTATGGTATTTTGTTATAGCAACCCAAAATGACTAAGATAACAGCTATAACCAAAGAATAAGACAGAGAAAACTCATAAACTAGCAGTTGCTGTTATTATTAATATATGGGAATCGAAAGCAGCCTTATTGATTTAGGCTTTAAACATCATCAATATGGTTGACAACTTTTATTTTTATCTCTCCACTCCCCAGCTTCTGCACAGCCTGTTTGATCTTGCCATTTGGATATTTCACAGACATCTCAAATGCAACATGCCCAAAGCCTAACCCTGTGTTTCTCTCCCCACACCAGTCTTACCCATTTTAGTAAATGACACCTTGATTTTTCCAGTTACTCAACCAAAATCCAGGCTTTGCATCCTTAGTTCTTCACCTTCTCTCACCTGGACAGACTGGACATCCAATCTCTCAGCAAGTCTGTTCATGCCACCTCCAGACAAGATCCCAGGCCCCCCACACCTTGCTCTCCCCACTTCTACCACCCAGTTCCGCCACCTTCATTGCTCATCTGGTCTTCTACGGCAGCCTCTCAACCAGCTTCCTTCCTGCCTCCCACCTCTGCTCTCCCTACCTACCACTCTCCATGCAGTCTTCTTAACACTTAATTCAGATCATGCCATCTGCCAACTCAAACCTCATCAAAGACTTTCTGTTGCACTTGCAATAAAATCTAACGTCACTCAGATGGCCCAGGAGACTTTGCAGGGTCAGCCCTTGCTGGGCTCCCCAGCCTCCCATACCTCTCCCTCCTCTCCTCTCCCTCCCTCCTCTTCTCTCTTCACTTGGGGGTTCATTCTTCATTCAGATTTGCCACGTCCCTCCCCACCTCCTGGCTTTGGGATTTACTGTTCCCTCTGACAAGAAAGTTTTCTTTCTTTTCTTTTCTTTTTTTTTTTCCTGAGACAGAGTCTCACTCTGTCACCCAGGCTGGAGTGCAGTGGCACGATCTGGGCTCGCTACAACCTTCACCTCCTGGATTCAAGTGATTCTTCTGCCTCAGCCTCCCGAGTAGCTGGGATTATGGGTTTGAGCCACCGCACCCGGCCGGAATGTTCTTTCTTATCCTGTCCTCCTCCACCCTGCACAGGATGGGTCTTTCTCGCACGTCATTGATCATGTTGTCACCTCCTCAAGGAGGCCTTCGCTATCACACTAGCTACGTTAACGTTCCCTGTATTCTATTTGTATATGGATTAATATAATTTATTTAGGCAATGATATCATTTGGATGTTTGTCCCCTCCAAATCTCATGTTGAAATGTGATCCCCAATGCTGGAGATGGGGCCTGCTGGGAAGTGTTTTGGTTATGAAGGTGAATCCCTCGTGTCTCACTGTTAGTTCACACAAGAGCTGGTTGTTTAAAGGAGCCTGGAACCTCCCCCTCTCTCTCTCTTAAGAGCTCCCTCTTTTACCACATGATATGCTGGCTCCCCCTTTGCCTTCTACCATGATTGTAGGCTGAGGCTTCCTGAGGCCTCACCAGAAGCAGATGCTGACACCCTGCTTCCTGTACAGTCTGCAAAACTATAAGCCAAAATAAACTTTTATTTACCAGTTACCCAGCCTTGGGTCTTTCTTTGCAGCAACACAAAATGCACTAATGTAGTTCATCATCCACTGTTGGACTTTAAGGTTGTTTCCAACTTTCTATTAACCATCCTGGGGTGAAGGATCTTTGCAATTAAATCTTTCCACATCCCATAATTATGGCCTTATAATAAAGCCCTAATGATTGAATATATTTTTTATTAAAAATATACTTCCATAGCACTTCCTCTGTAACCAGCAATGTTCTAAATACTTTACCAATATAAATTCATTGATGTGCGTGCATACTTTCTTTTGTAGTTAAATATACTAGCTCATTTATTTATGTCTTTATTTTATTGCGGTAAGAGCACTTAACATGAGATCTACCCTCTCTTTCTTTTTCTTGAAATTTACCCTCTTGACAAATTTTAAGTGCACAATACAGAATTGTATCTGTGACTTTTTTCTGGTCTGCCTTTTCCATTAGACTGTGTGCTACATGAGGGCAGGGACGATGTCTGTCTTACAATGTCACCAATTGTAATTCTGGTGCATGGCATGGACCTGGCATACAGAAGGACTCAATCAATATTTATTGAATGAAGCCATAAAGGAACAAGCTAGCACCCTGGCATTTCACATACATTATCTCATTTAATCTTCACAGCCTCCCTATGGCAATATTATTATTATTTTTTCCTTTCTATAGTTGGATACACCAAGGCTCTTAGGTTAAGAGACTTACATCTGAGTCAGAATGAATCTTGGGCCCATGCTATTCCCACTGTACAGGGCTGCCACCCTGATGCACAAGTAACTCATCTCTTTATGCAGTGCCATGCTCATTTCTTGGGGGTGACACAGGAACAGTTAGCCCCTTCTTCCTTCTACCAAGAGATCACTACCTCACACCCCTGGGGATATGAAAATGTAAAGATGAGAACCTTGATTAATAGGCCTATACATAACCTTTAATTAATTGGTCAACATTCAAGGATTATACCCTTGAACTTTGGGAAAAATTAACAGAAGAGTTCCTAAAAATTAATTAATAGGAATCAACACACTGACAAAAGTCTCTGTGCCTCCCTCAAAGAAGTGAACACAGGAATTTCTATGTCCCGGTTCTTGTGTTAGAGCCACAAGGTCAGAGAAGGTTGGACAGACGGAGACCTTGCCCATTTTGTCTCCATAAGCCCATGGCTTTCAGGTTCTGAAAATCCTGAAAATCTTGGTCAAAACCAGCCACGTGTAGTCTTCCCATTTCTTCAATTATTTAGTTGTTTATTTCCCTATAATTTGCTATGTCTATAGAATCATCAAATTTTAAAGCCAGAAGTATCCTAAAGATCACGTTTTGTTTCTTTAATGTGTGACCTCATTAATTCAGATGACATTAATTTAAAATTCATGATAATTACATAAACATAGAGCGAGCAGTACTATGATGCCTTGCAGATGAAATATGCATATTCTGTGTACTGATACGTTGTCTCTTCTTAAGAAAGATGTGAGGTGACTGCCTGATTAATGTATTGAGGTTCTCTGAGGGAGGAAGTAAAAAAAATGACACAGAGTTGTCAGACGACTCATAACTCTAAGTTTCAGAAAAAACTTGGGGTTGAATTTTAGCTCTCTTGCTTTACAGTTTTGTGGCCTCGGACAAATGACTTAACAGGGCCCTAGCTCTCTCATCTGTAAAGTGAGAAATAATAACAGCATCTTTATTTTAGAGTCATTGTGAAGAATAAAAATGATTACTGCATGGGAAGTGCCTGATGTAGTATCAGCACAAAGTAAGTGTTCAGTAAAATTACCCGAACTACTACCTGTAATATAAGCTATCATAGTGAAAGCAGCTAATGTGTACCAGGTATTTTACAAACACGACCTCAGTCATTTCTCACTTCAACCTTTGAGACAAGTTTTACATATGAGGAAAATAAGTCTGAGGCTGAGTTAGTAATTTGCTCGAGGTTGTGCAGTTAGGAGGTGCAGGAATAGATATTGGAACCCAGGTCTATGTAACTCCACCAACAGGCTGCTTTCACCAAATCCTACCTCCTCTTAGACCAGAAGTGGGTCAAGTGGTGCCATCCTCTGTCTGCCTACGATGTGCACAAAATGACTGAAGGGATGAGTGGGTGCATCACCCAGGAAACAGAGTTTCAATTAGTGGAGAAGCAACATGGGTGAAGGAGAAAAGAAACGGATCCTGTGTCCTTCCAGAGGACAAACAACTGTGGACTCATGCTAAGAAAGAATCCCTAACAAATGAAGTTCCTGAGTTAGACAGGGCGCTGAATTGGATGACCTCGCAGTTTCTCCCGCCTCTAGGATTCTGTAATAGGATTCTGTAATAGGCACCGTTCTCAGTTGTACCTTTTAGCCAAGTGTCCTTAGTTGTCTGTGTGTAAGTGTGTGTGTCGTGTACAGGACCACGGGGGTGGGATTTAGCAAATATAGGACTCTGGCCTAAAGGCAGGAAACATCCGGAGGAGGCGAATGTGCATGTCTGTGGAGTTAGAACTGGGCTCGAATTTATGCACCTTGTTTATAAATAACCTAGATCATGAAATGTGCAGTACACTTTCAGATTTGGCAGGTGACACTAAGTTTTTTTAGTATAAAATTGGGAGGTTGATGGGAAGGAATCTTAAGATCCTACAAGACTATGTGAATGGGCAGAGAAAGGTAGAAAAGTAGAGGATAGTTCTGCAACTTAAAAGATTCAGAGAGCTGAGTTCTCAATTAAAACTCAGGGAATTCATCTGGGAGTCTTTCCCAGACTGGACCCCAGGGGATTCCAGTTAATATGTTTCAGTGGCCAAAAATGTTGGAAAGAAAAAAAAGGGAAAATACAAACCAATGAGATGATCCAGCTTTGACTGTGGCATATAATAGTGTAGTCACCCTTGGCTAAGGCTGAATGTGGCTCTGATCCCATGGGCACAGGTGACGGGCGGGAGAAGAGCAGTTTAAACAATCAAAGGAGCATTGAGGCTGGACTAAAGTTAGTGGGATTCTCTAGTCCATAGGCAAGAGCATGAAGGGTGGTATGACCGATGTCAACAAAATCATGCATGTAAGAATAAAGAGGAAGCTGGAGAAGCTGAAGCTAGCAGTACATTCTGGAGAGTGAGTAGAAACATACTCTCGTTAAATGAACAAAAGTCCCATGAAATCTATTATTCCCAAGAGATAGAACTGGCTGAAAGAATGAACAGTTCAGTTCAACAAATACCACTAGGCAAGTGTTAGGGCTAGAAGTGCTAGTTCTTTTGTTAAACTTTTTATCTTGAGGCAAGTGTAGACTCACATGCAGTTGTGAGAAATAGCAGAGTGATCCTGTGGTGTCCGTTTTACTCAGTTTCTGCCAATGGTAACATCTTCGTAACTTTAGTGCAATAGCATAACCAGGATACTGACATTGATACAATCCAACAACCTTATTCAGATTCCCCTAGTTTTACTTGCATTGGTGTGTATGTGTGTGTGCATGTGTGTGTGTGTGTATGCATGTGGTATGCTTAGTTCTATGCAATTTTATCACACGCATTAGTTTCTGTATCCATCACCACAGTCAGGATTCAGAACAGTTCCGTCACCACAAGAATCCCTCCTGTTGCCCCTGTATAACCACACCTACCTTCTTCCTGCCTTAATCCCTAACACCCAGTAACCACTAATCTCCACTTCTATAATCTTGTCATTTTAATAATGTTACATAAATGGAACCGTAGGCACTCTAACATTATATGAATAATAGCACATAATTAAGCATGAGGAACATCCCTTAGGGTGATAACTGAGACACAAAAGTGGAACCACCCCCCTCTCGCACAGCATCTCCTATGCTCTGACAGGAGGTTACATGGACAAAAGGTCTGAGGCCGGGTGCGGTGGCTCATGTCTATAATCCCAGCACTTTGGGAGGTCAAATCAAGAGGATCATCTGAGGTCAGGAGTTCAAGACCAGACTGACCAACGTGGCGAAACTCCGTCTCTACTAAAAATACAAAAAAAAAAAAAAATTAGCCGCTCGTGGTGGCGCACACCTGTAGTCCCAGCTATGCCAGAGGCTGAGGCAGGAGACTTGCTTGAACCCAGAAGGTGGAGGATGCAGTGAGCCAAGATTGCCTCACTGCACTCCAGCCTGGGCGACAGAGCAAGACTCCATCTCAAAAACAAAAACAAGGTCAGGTGCTGTGGTTCATGCCTGTAATCCCAGCACTTTGGGAGGCTGAGGCGGGCAGATCACCTGAGGTCAGGAATTCGAGACCAGCCTGGCCAACATGGTGAAACCTGGTATCTACTAAAAATACAAAAATTAGCCAGGCACACGTGCCTGTAGTCCCAGCTACTCAGGAGGCTGAGGCAGGAGAATTGCTTGAACCGAGGAGGTGGAGGTTGCAGTGAGCCAGGATTACATCACTGCACTCCAGCCTGAGCAACAGAGCAAGACTCTGTCTCAAAAAACAAACAAACAAACAAACAAAAACAAAAGTTCTGACCCAGTTGATCTTCCAGACATTCTCAGGAAACGGCCACTTTGATTTAACAACTTGAGTGGGTGGGGCAGGATAAAATACGAGGGGCTGGGGCTAGGAATTGGATTTGTCCCACTGGAAGGGTTATGTACTGGGGATAGGAACCCTCTCTAGGTGACACTAGTGGCAAGAAGTTGCTGTGTCTGCAAGGTAAGGCTCAGGCAGCAGTTGTTCAGCAGGAGGTCAGGTCTGGGATGGGAGTCAGGCCAGGCATGAAAGAGAGGCTTACAGCTGAAGCTGTCCTCCGCTCTCCCTTGAAGCCAGACTCAGGCACAAGTGGCACGTGTAAAGAAAACTATGGGATGCCAAAACTGCTGAGAACAAACCATGCTCAAGAACTTTCAAAACTACTTAGACTTCACCCATATGTATTAAATATTCAACAGACAGTTCCAAAAAATGGAGGGATCAGGGGAGGCAATGAGAAGTATAGTGAGTGGGCCACGGCAAAACCGCAGGTGGAAGAAGAAAACCTGAGTGAAGGTAATGGCAGAGAAAGGGGGTCGCTTGTGAAAAAAAATAAATAGAAAAAATCAGGAGTGATTGGAATTGGAGGGGAAAGAGGGAAAACATCACACATGTGTCATAGATTTCCAGCCTGCGTGAACAGGAAACCCAGAGGAAGGATGTCAGGGGAGGAGAAGACGGTTTGGTCACATAGGGACTGAGTTACTGGAAAGACTTCTTCTAGGAGGAAATGACCAAAGCAAAGTTGAGAGATGTGCTATGAGGCTCGGAAGATGTGAAAATTTGACATATTGATTGACAATCATGTTCCTGGTTGAAGTCATAGTAGATTTATAAGGGAAAGGGTGTTAGTAGAGCCTTGGGGTTCCCAAAGGATGGGAGAAAGGAGTCAGCAAAGAATACAGACATGGACAAAAGGAAAGGGAGGAAGGTTGAAACAAGAATCAGAACAGCAGTGGCCCATGAGAGGGAAGGGGAGAATTTCAAGAGGGTAGGGTTAAGCAACATTGAGTGCTTCCAAATAAGACACACAAAGACCTACATGGCTAGGGCCTTAAAATGTTCCCCTTGGAAGCTGTGGTCTGAGGCTTATCCCAGGGGAAGAAATTCTTAACGATGGAACTTCTGGTAGTATCACAGGTATGGGATTATTGGTTTGTTTGTTTAAGAAAGGGCAATTTTTGTGGTACCTCTCAAATCCTACCATATGGCAACTGCCTACGTTAGCTCTTGTTAGGAAGTCTCTTGCTCAACTATGAGGATGGGTAATGTCCTGAGGTCCTGTAGCTAACTAAGGATTAGTTAAGGAAAGGGAGAAAAAAAAAAAAAAACAGAAAAGAAATTAGGAAAACAAAAACAAGATACCAATAGCAATTATCAAGATTTCTTGGATTACACAGGCAGAAAATCAATAAGGAAACACTGGACACAAACTAAGACTTTAGACCAAATGGATCTAACAGACATACACAGAATATTCCACCTAACAGCAGCAGAATACACATTCTTCTCAAGTGCACACAAAACATTCTCCAGGATAGATCATATGCTATGCCACAAAACAAGTCTTAACAAACTTAAGAAGACTGAAATCACATCAAGTATCTTTTTTGACCACAATGGTATGAAACTAGAGATCAATAATAGGAGAGATTTCAGAAAACTCATAAATATGCACAACATGCTCCTGAACAACCAATGAGTCAAAGAGAAATCAAAAGGGAAATTTAAAAATATCTTGAGACAAAATTTAAAACACAACATACCAAAACTTATGAGATGCAGCAAAGGCGATTATAAAAGGTAAGTTTATAGCAATACATATCTACATTAAAAAAGAAGAAAGTAATTTGGGAGGCCAAGGCAGGTGGATTGCTTGAGCCCAGGAGTTCGAGACCAACCTGGGCAACATAGTAAGACCCTATCTCTACAAAAAAATAAAAAAAGTGGTTGGGTATGGTGGCATGTGCCTGTAGTCCCAGCTACTCAGGGGGCTGCGGTGGGATGATCACTCGAGCCCACGAGGTCAAGGCTGCAGTGAGTTGTAATTGTACCATTGCACTCCAGCCTGAGCGACAGCACAAGACCTTGCCTCAAAAAGAAGGAGGAGGGTAAGGAGAAGGAGGAAGCACTCAAATAAACTAACATCAGATCTCAAGGAGCTAAAAATAGAAGAACAAACTAAGCCCGAAGTTAGCAGAAGGAAGAAAATAACAAATATCAGAACAGAAATAAATGAAACAGATACTTGAAAAACAATAGAAAAGATCAATGAAACTAAGAGTTGGTATTTTAAAAAGGTAAACAGAATCAACAGATCTTTACTATGAAAAAAGAGAAGACTCAAATAAAATAAAAAATGAAAGAGGAGAATTACAATTAATACCACAGAAATACAAAAGATCATAACAGATTACTATCAACAATCATACAGCAACAAATTGAATAATCTAGGAAAAATGGATAAATTCCTAGAAATATACAACATACCAAGACTGAATGATAAAGAAATTGAAAATCTTAACAGATTAATAATGAGTAAAAAGATTGAATCAGTAATCAAAAATCTCCCATCAAAGAAAAGCCCAGGAGTTGAGGGTTTCATGGTTGAATTCTACCAAGCATTTAAAGAAGAGCTTATACTAATCCTTTTCAAACTCTTCCAAATAAATTGAAGAGGAAGGAATACTTCCAAACTCACTTTATGAGGCAAAATTACCCTGATACTGAAGCCAGACAAGGATACTACAAGAAAAGAAAATTGCAAGCCAATATCCTTGAACACAGATGCAAAAATCCTCAACAAAATACTAGCAAAATGAATTCAATGGCATATTAAAAGATCATTCACCACGATCAAGTGGGATTAATCCCTCGGATGCAAGGATGGCTCAAAATACACAAATCAATCAATATGATACACCACATTAAAAGAATAAAGGACAAAAATCATACGATTATATCAATAAATGCAAAATCCACAACTGACAAAATTCAACATCCTTTAATGATAAAAATCCTCAGCAAATTATAGAAGGAATGTACCTCAACACAATAAAAGCTATTTATAACAAGCCCATAGCCAATATCATACTCAATGGTGAAAAGTTGAACGTTTTTCCTTTAAGATCAGGAACAAGACAAGATGCCTACTCTGACCATTTCTATTCAATGTAGTACTGGAAGTCCTAGCCAGAGCATTTAGGCAAAAACAGAAAGGCAAGGGAAGTGAAAGAAAGGGAAGGGAAAGGGTCTGAACAGGAAAAAAATAAGTTAAATTGACACTGTTGCAGATGACATCATCTGACATATGAAAACCCTAAAGATTCCACCAACGAACTGTTAGAAATAATAAACAAATTCAATAAAGTTTCATCATATGAAATCATCATACAAAATTCAGGAGCATTTCTATATACTAATAATGAACTATCTGAAAAAGTCCCTATTATGATAGCATTAAAAAACCTACAAATAAATTTAACCAAAAATGTGAAAGATCTGAACACTGAAAATTATAAAACATTGATGAAAGAAATTAAATAAAACACAAATAAATTTTAAAATATCCTGTATTCATGGATTAGAAGAATGTCTTCTTAAAATGTCTGTACTACCCAAAGTGATCTACAGATTCAATGCAACCCCTATCAAAATTCCAATGACATTTTTTCACAGACATAGAGAAAGCAATCCTAAAATTCATATAGAACCAGAAAAGACCCAGAATAGCCAAAGCAATCTTGAGAAAAAAAAAAACTGGGGGCATCACACTACCTGATTTTAAAATGCACTACTAAGCTTTAGTAATCAAAACATCATACTGGCACAAAAACAGATGTATAGAGCAATGGAACAGCAAGAGAGCCCAGAAATAAATCCACACATTTCCAGTTAATTGATCTTTGACAAAGGTACCAAGAACATACAATGAGGAAAAGGATAGTCTGTCTAAGAAAGAGCATTGGGAAAACTGGGTATCCATACGCAGAAGAATAAATTGGATCTTTATCTCGCCCCATATACAAAAATCAACTTGAAATGGATTAATGACTTAAATGTAAGACCTGAAACTGTAAAACCACAAGAAGAAAACATAGAGGAAAAGCTTTTTGACATTCATTTGGGCAATGTTTTCTTGGATATAACTTCCAAAGCATGGGCAACAAAAGCAAAAACAGACAAAAGAGATGGCATCAAATAAAAAGTTAAGCTGCTTCTACACAGTGAAAGAAACAATCAACACAGTGAAGAGACAGCCTGTGGATTGAGAGAAAATACTTGCAAACCATACATGTATAAAGTGGTTAATGTCCAAAACGTATAAAGTACTCAAACAACTTAATAGTAAGAAAATGACCCAATTTAAAAATGAGCAAATGACCTGAAAAGGTATTTCTCAAAAGAAGATATACAAATGGCCAATAAGAATATTTTTTTTTAAATGCTCACATCCACTAACCGTCAGGGAAACACAAACTAAAACCACAATGAGATATCACCCCATGCCTGTTTGAATGGCTATTATCAAAAAATAAATAAATAAATAACAAGTGTTGCTGAGGATGTGAAGGAAAGGAAACCCTTACACTGTTGGTAAGAATATAGATTAGTACAGCCATTTATGGAAATTAGTATGGGGGTTCCTCAAAAATATAAAAATAGATCTACCATATGATCCAGCAATCCTACTACTGGGCATTTACTCAAGGGAAACGAAATCAGTACGTCAAAGAGATATCTGCACTCCCATGTTGATTGCAGTATTATTAACCTTCCCCTACTCTTTCATAAGTCAGACCTGCATTGAGGTCTGAAGGCTTTCCCACATTTTCTGGCTTCTCCTCTTTTATCCCTCAAGACATTTCTCCCAACAGCCTGTCGTGCATCTAATCCTATCTTGACACCTGCTTCTCAGAGGATTTGGACTAACATAATGCTTTATCTTATTTCATAATTATGATAACCCAAAATATAAGTACTATTGTCCCCATTTTTCAGACTAGAAAACTGAGGCACAGAGTGGTTACCTGCTTGTCTGAGATCATCCAGCTAGTACCTGGGCAGAGCTGGGATTCAATCCAGAACTGTCTGACTCCAGGGTCTGTGCTCTTGTCCCTGGCTACGTACACATACCCCTCCCTTTACTTGTCACAGGGCAGTCACAGCAGTCTATTCCCTGTCTTGAACACAGCCAGTTTATCCTGCCTCGGGTCTTTGCCCAAACCACTTCTCATGTCTGAAATACTCTTCTTTTGAATGGTCAGCTTCCTCCTCTCTTTTGAGTCTTGGCAGAGCAGTACTCCTGGCCTTCCTAAGTAGGCCCTTTCTCTTTCTGTCACTTGCTTATTTCCTTTACAGCACTCACCACAACATACAATTTTTGCTTTTACTTTTCTACTTAGTGTTTTTGTCTCCTTCTACCCTTTGAATGCATGTTCCATGATACCAAGAATCACATCTTTCTCTTTTACAACTGTGTTGATAAATCCTAATACAGTGTCTGGCACATAGTCAACAAACATTTGTCAAATAAACAAATGATGGGTAAGTTAATGTATTTGCATAGTATTTCTTCATACATATTGTCTCATGTAATCATGGGGAAAGAGAAGACAAAGGAAAGAAAAGAGAAGAGTTAAATCTATTGAATGGGAGAAAAAGATCACTCCACACATGCCCAAAAGAACCTCCAGTCCCAGGGTGCCTCTAATGATGGGAGAGTCTGCAGTCTGCAAAGACACATCCCATGTTTGGAGAACTGGGAGTGTTTTTCCTAGACCAGACATGTATAGAACTAGCAGTTAGACATGCAAGTCACATTGTGATGACAAACGCCTCCCACCCTCTCCCCTGAAGGGCACTGGAGATCAAGCAGGGCTGATATCCATCAGAGGTGTCAGAGATGTCAGCCAAGACCTCTCAGCCACTTTCTGGCCTGATGCTACTGAGTTCAATGGGCTTTTGCTCCTATCAGCCTAAAGCAGAACTCTGCTGCCAACAGTTAAATTAGCAGAGCTTATGGTTGGGGTGTTCTGGTTCAACAAAGTCTTCCCAACATTGCCATGATCTTCTTGCCACGTCAGGTGACCTGCTCTGGGCATGTGTCCTCCATGGGACTGCTATTGTGCAACTTCCCCACTTTTCACAAAAGAAATGTGTTTAGGATTTTTATCACAGTGACTAGAAACCTAATTCCTACTAGCTCCAGCTAAGGAGGAAAGATTTTGCTAGGACATAGGCTGTCCCACAGAGCCCAAGAACAGGCAAGGAGCTGGGTCCCCAGAGCACACTGAAGCCTGAGCCTGAGGAGCCCTCAGGACCCTGAGCCCTTCTTTTGTCTTCACCATTCTGCCAATCAGCTTTATTTGTTTCTCCTATGTGGATTGGCTTCTTTTGCCTTTCAGCTGCTCCTGAGTTTTATATGTAACAATCTGCACATCCAGACACTCATGGATACACATTCTCCTTCTCTCTCTCCCAACACAACTCAGTCCTGCCCCCAAAGTCTAGGGTGAAGAACTATTGGTCCATCTTTGCTCAGAAATCCATTCTTAGATCAGTGGACCATGTCCACAGGGGTATGCGGTTGGGGATTGTGTTGGAGGAAGAGCTAGGCTGACAAAGTCTGTTTAGTACAAGGAAACTGAAAGTTGAAAAGATAAGTTTACTCAAATAGGTAATGTGGGAAGTCACCTAACATTCTGCCTGACACATAGTTAGCACTCCAAAACAGAAGTACTTATTATTGTTATTGATATGGCTTTTATTGTCCAAAATCATATTGCCAGTAAGACAGGAGTCAGGACTTGAAACCAGGTCTCCAGATGCCCAAGGTCTCTCTCCCAGACACCAAGGGTCGCTGGGAGCAAGGGTCTCTGGGGATAGGGGCAGTATGTTATCTTCAGCATCTAGCCCATGCTTGAAGGGAGTTGATTCTTCAGTGTTTTTTGTTTTTGTTTTTAACTAACCTAACAGTTGTCCCCACTGTTCCTAGAACAACAGCAACATCAGTGTCTTTCTCTACAGGGGAGAGAAAGACAAGGGCATGGGAGAAAGCAAGGAAAATCTGCAGACTGACCCCAACCAGCCCAGAGGCTGCAGATGGGGCACTTCCTGACTCTCAGTAGGTGAAATGAGGCCACTTCATCCCTCAAGAGATAGGTACTTCTTCTGCCACATCCTTTCTCATCTCTAGCACATCTCAGGAACTGAACTCACTCCCACTGAATTTATTAACTGAATTGAAAGGAAGGGCAGTCAGCCCATCCATGTTTGCACAGCAGCATGGTGCAACTCGACACGCAATGCTCAGAGAAGAGGGAGCTGGTAGCATCTGATGCCCTTCAGAGCATGGTTCCAGCTCAGCATGGGGCAAGCACAAAGCCTCTACAGCCCACTAAGAGCTGGCGGGTTTAGCGGACCCTGTCTAAGAACCCAAACTACACGTGAATGGAAGAGTTTTTTAATTTCTATGGTAATAAGGAGCCTAAACTCCAGTTCCATTTACAGGCTATACTTAGGAGCTATATCAGCCCCAGGCTGATCTCTGTGATATGCAGATTTACCAGAGACTGGCAGTGACTGATGAGAACATACATAAGGAAGAATTAAAGTTAAAGATGAAAAGAACTTCGTAATTAAAGGGGTTGAGAGATACTGAAACAGAGAAGAGTCTGAAAGAAAATTCTTAAAGGCCTATTGAAAATGAGCCACATGGAGCACAAGTCACCTGTTGGAAACTCCACAATTCTGCATCAGCCTTGTGGGCAAGGCTCCTGGGCCTCTCGGTTCCCTCCCTATAATCTGTGGTTCACAGACAGTGGTGTGCACCAGAATCAGAACTGTGTGTTATGGCTGGTCCTTTTCGCCACTTACAAACAAGCCAGTTTTAACCTTTTGGCTGAAATACATACACTGGTTCAATAATTGAAGGGCATAATTTATTATCTAGCTGGCCCTGGATGCCAACTTCTGGGGTGGGTGGAAGGATTAATATATTTACATAAAGAAAGCCTCCAGCCCCTCCAGATTCTGCAAGACACTCCACGGCACAACAGTAGAATGTTAGATTTAAAAGAAACCTTCTAGAAAACAGTCCCCATTTTATCAAGGCCCAGAGCTCAAGTGAGCATGTCAAAGATGGCAAAATAAAGTTATTTTTGTCTCCTCATGTCCCTTTAAGGAAGTTTAGTCCTTACAAAAACAAAAAACAAAAAACATTAAGAGATTGTCTAAATGTTCTCCAGGGCGAAGGTAGCGAGAGTAGAAGAACCATAACCAAAATAGTCATTTGCTCAGTATGTTGCTTCTGTATTAAAAATAGTCAAAATGGTATTTCTGGGAGGCAATTTGATCAAACGACAAGGTTCACTTGTCCCAAAAGGATATTCAGCCATTTTATTGCTGTGTTCATGGTATTCAACAGATTCGTGAGTTGCAACAAGACCGTTTTGTCTCTGACAATTTAAGATCTTACAACTGCCTCATAACTTGGGATGTGTTTTAAATTCCTTTATGAGGAAATGGAAGCCCAAAGATACTGAGAAGGGGCCCAGAGCCACAAGGTAATGCAGCCACCACTTTCAGAAGGGGACTGTGACATTTCAATGGAGATTCATGGATTCCAAGCTTGAGCACCCTTGTTCCAGCAGCCATTCTTTATGACCTCAGCAAGCTGACTATGTGGTTCTTCAGTTTCCTCATCTGCAAATGGGATCCCCTATATTTGACCTTCATGCTTCTCAGGGTTGTTCTGAGGATCAAGTCTCCTTGCTTTGCTTGAGTGAGGGGTGTGCTGCAGCAAGATGACTACAGACACAGTTGGGGATGGGAGGAGTGGGCAGCTGCTCAGACAGCAGTGACCTCATTTCCATTGGAAGGTTACATACAGAAGACATGGACCCTGCATAATCGGGTGGAGAGCAAGGTGGCAGGAACAGGTGTGTGTAATCTGGGAAGCTCAAAGCCTTGAGATCATGCCCTACTTTGGCTACAGCAGAGCAAAGGCTGGCCACGAAAGAGGTAGTGATGAGCAGAAAGGCTGTAGAGTTGGAGCTGGAAGGCAAGGAGGTAGGAAAAGGAAAAGGAAGGAGAGAAGATGGTCTGGTTTTCTCTCTGGCCTTCCAAAGGCACCTCAAGATGGGAGGTGGCCAAGAGAAGGAGTGGAATAAGGGGCTCCTGCCCTTCATTCAGTCATTTATTTGTTCAATTATTTTGAGCACCTACTATGTATTAGTCACATTGTAGGCACTTGGGAGACATCCATGAACAGAACAGACAAAGATTCTGCACTTGTGAAGATAATATTCTACAGGGGAAAGACAGGCAGTAAATAATATCATAATAAACTGGACAACTATATTGCATGTGAGATGATAAGTGTAATTGAAGAAAAAAACAAAGCAAGGAAGAGCAATAAAGAGTTTCAGAGTGTGTGTAAGGTCAAATTTAAATAGAGTGGTCGGTCAGGAGAGACCTCACTGAGAAGGTGGTTAGTGAGGCAGTGAGCTATATAGATATCTAGGGGAGGGGAAGAGAACATCAAGCAGGACAAATAGTCTAAGCCTTATGCTCTAATCCAGCTTGCCAAATTTCCTCACTCTAACAAATCATACCTTCCTCCAAAGACGGCTACAAAAATGTCTCCCATCCCACACGTTTTCCTTGTAATGGGACTTTGACATTCCTTCCATCAGGAGGTGGGGTTGATGTTCCCTTATCTTAAATCTGGACAGACTTGTGACCGTGGCAGAGTTATTCTACATAGCTACTGAGGTAACATATAAAGGGTAGTAAACCTTCTACCTGGTTCTCCTGGCACCCTTACTCTTGGAATCCTGCCACCATGTTGTGATGAAGCCCAAGAAGCCACATGCAGAGACCTCATACAGGTATTCTGGCTGACAGCCCCAGCTGAGGTCCCAGCTGATAGCTACTGCTGACCAGGAGACAGAGTTTGAAACGTCTTTCACCCATCCCCCAGCCATTAAGTCACCCCCAGCTACTGAGTCTTCCTCAGACTCTGTGGAACAGAAACAAGACATTTTCACTGTACCCTTTTCAAATTCCAGACCCATATAATCCATGGGCATAATAAAATGGCTGATTTATACCTCTAAGTTCAAGTGGTTTGCTATGCAACCATATAACAAGAGATAACTGGAACAGCCACATAAAATATAGAGCCCTACCTTAACTAAATAATAAAATTTACCTTGATTTGCATGTCCCTTGAATATATACCTTCCTTAGGCATCTTGTGAGGAAAGAAGATAGTTAGGCTAAGGTAAGATCAATGTGTTTTTATATCCCTTGACCTAATAACTATCTAATTGTCTCAATATTACCCCTAACAGAGATCAGCAGAAAAGAATAAATAGCCCAGAAGCAAACCTTAATAGAAGTTAAAGGAAGCATCACAAATCAGTAAGGAAGGAACGAATTATTTTAAAATCAACACTGGAACAATTGGTTAACTATATGGAAGAAAATCAATTTAGATCCTACACTTAAATCTACTTGCTATAAATCAAAAAACTTTATATTAAAAAATCAAATAATGAGGAAGAAGAAAGTATGGATAAAGGCATATTTTACTTCTTGCAGGGAAAGGCTTTCCAAATATAAAAGCAAAGGAATTACAAAGGAAAATATTAATGGATTGAATTGCATGCCAAAAAATTATATGCAATATTAAAAGAAAATAAACTAAAAACTGTATCTGCCACAAAGATTATAAGCAAAGAACAAATACCAAAAACAAACAAATATGCAAAACAAAAACATTAAGATCCTAATTGATTAATGTGCAAATGACACAAACAGAACAATTCTAAATGAGAAAATACAAATGGTAAATATCCAACCTGATGGTTATCAAGAATTTCAAATTAAAATAATAATGAGGTAATAATGATCTTCATCTATGATAGCAAAATGATAATAATGGTGTATTGTGAGCTGAGTAGTCTCATACATTGCTGGTAGAAGTATACATTTTTTTAAAAGTTGGTGAGTTAATTTGACAACACACATCATAATGAATAAAACAAAAGAAAAATACTTGAAACAATTTAGGGTAAATTATCCCTGTATAATTCTGTTCTCACACTGCTATAAAGACATACCTGAGACTGGGTAATTTATAAAGAAAAGAGGTTTAATAAGCTCATAGTTTTGCAGGCTGTACAGGCTAATGCTTCTGAGGAGGCCTCAGGAAACTTACAATAGTGGCAGAAAGTGAAGTGGAAGCAGGCAAAAATTCACATGGCTGGCAGGAGACAAAGTGTGAACGGGAGAGTGTTACATACTTTTAAAAAACCAGATCTCATAAGAACTCACACACTATCATGAGAACAGCAAGGGGGAAGTCAGCTCCATGATCCAGTCACCTCCCACTAGGCCCCTCCTCCAACATATAGGATTGCAATTCAATGTGAGATTGGGGTGGGGACATAGAGCCAAACCATATCAACCACCATTAAAGAAATAGTTAAGCAAATTATGATTTATCTATTTTAGAAAATATTATTTATTTATTAAAATCATGCTTACAAAGACTTTTTAATGATGTGGAACATGTAATACAATTTTGAATAAATAAAAATATGAAAAATACATCTGCTTCTACAAATAAAAAAGTCTAAGAAGATGTACCTTAAACTAATGGTGTTGGTTATCTTAGGGATTACCTGTGAATTTTCTTATCTACTTCATACATTTTTGTTTTGGTCATTTTTTTAGGCAATAAGAAAAAGAAATCAGGGCAAAACTGATGAAGATTTAGATCTCAGTTTTCCAGTAGGAACAATTAAGTGTTTTAGGTCTTTGATAAAGAGCATTGCCCACAGGAACCACAAGGTCATGCAGGATCACAGGGCAGCTTAGCTAACCTCTTTTGGAGGAAAGTGAGGAATCCAGGACTGTTTTACGCATCAGCCCTCAGTTTGTGCATGAGTGTGTTTTATGTTCCTTTTTCAATCCTGTGGGGACAGAAATGTCTGGCTGGTCAACACGCATGAACCTTGGTATAAAACCCATTGGCTTTAGGAAAGTTGACAGATGCCAAGCGTTAAGGGTTAGGATGCCTGACTGCAGAGGAGAGATCCCTGGTGACATTAAGCCTACAGCCAACCACCAGTGAAGGCATCCTTTCACCTAGAGGAAGTTTGTGTCTAAACTAATCCAGGCTCTCCCGGGTTATCTCCAAGGGCAACTATTATCTAGGCCATAATAGAGCCATGCAATCATCCTGCACTGACCCCTGGAATCCTACTGGACGGAATGTCCTGGAAAGGCTTCATTGGATTGACAACTACACTCCCTGTATAGTTCTTCCCACTATTGCCCACTCATCATTCATAGATGGGAGTCCAAGGCTGGTCCTTCACTTAGCAGTGGGGAGCTTAGGGCCATTAGGCACAAGCAGCATGGAAAAGGAAAAATCAAATCAGAGCATGCCCAGCATCTAAGAGCAACAGAACCTCTGATTCTAGAATCCACTCTCAACCAATGGCTCTAATTCTACTCCTGACCATAAGAAACCTGCCTTGACTACATATGTGCTTAAAAAGAGCTTTGGACACTCTACAGTGGTTGCTACTAATATCACATGAGTCCCCTCCCCCACAAAAATACATTAGACATCAGCAGCTCTATTTATTTTACATAGGAGAAAAACTGAAGTCCAGAGAGAGGAAGTGACTCATCCAAGGTCACACAGATGGTTCACAGCATATCCTAGACCAATTCTGATAAAAGCCTGGCATTAGCTTTGAAGAAGCAATCACAAATTGAGGGCAATTATATTACCTGCCCGATCAGGTGAGAGAGACACCACTCATATCTGATAGAGGTGCGGGTCTTCTAACATGCCTTCCTGGCCAAAGAAACCAGGCAGCCCATTGTCCTCCAAGCCCTAGACTGGGTATCAGTAAGTACGTGGCTGACATAGATCTCATGGCATGCTGGACACACTGACCCACAGATCCAAGCTTCAGGAAACCTCACACTCTCCACTTGCTTCTCCTTTTGATTAAGCTCAGAGGCTTTCAGAGAGGAGACCCCAGAATATTTGAACAATGACAGGGAGTTGACTGAACTGGTATCTGAAACATTCTTAATTCAGAAGAATTGAAGGTGTTGGGAGTCAAGGAATTTAAGTACAGAGCAGGGGAGGGGATGCAGCTGAACTGCAGAGAGCATGATATTAAGGACATCCTGAAATCCTTCCAAGCCTCAATTTCCTCACTTGGTGAGCAGACAAAACAGGTAGTTAAACTAGATACAGACGTTCCTCAGCTTACAGTGGGGTTATGTCCTGATAAACCCAGAGTAATTGAAAATATTGTAAGTCAAAAGTGCATTTAATACAACATCATAGGTTAGCCTAGGCTACCTTAAATGTGCTCAGAACACTTACATTAGCCCACAGTTGGGGAAAATCACCTGGCAGGACAGTATACCATAGACTGTTGTTTATCCTCATGGTTGTGTGGCTGACTGGAAGCCTTTGTTCGCTGCTGCTGCCCAGCATTGCAAAAGGGTATCATACTGCATATCATTGGCCCAGGAAAATTTCAAAATTCAAATTTTGAAGTACAGTTTCTACTGACTACGTATCACTTTTGCATTATTATAAAGTCGAAAAATCATAAGTCAACCTACTGTAAGTCAGTGACCCTCTATAATCACTAAGGTCTCTTATAACTATGTTTCTTTAAATTTCAATTTTCTAATCTCTGCCATAGATCTGCCCAAAAGTAGCTCTCTTCACTTTCAAGTTGGGCAAAGGAATGTACAGACAAATCCTCTGTCCCACTGCCCAAAGATGTGTGCATTCAGAAGAACTTGTTGGACTGCAACATTTGCAAGTCAAAAAGCAAGTGGTTTAAGAGACACACAACATCTCTCCTCGGAAGAGTTCCAGGGAATTCCCAAAGGCTTCTTTGAAAGTGTCTTAGACAGTGTGAGCTCCTCAGCTGACTGTATCTCCAGCCACACTCCCTCCAGGAGTCAGGGGCACTGGTGGTATCCACCCTGGGCTGTGGCTCCAACCACTGACAGATGTTTTATCAAAGTGACAGCTCAGTGCTATGGGCTCCCATCTCAAACAGGCAAGAGATCCAAGTGTCATTTCTCATGATTAATGATAAAAAGTCTAGAATTTGGTGGCTTGATTTCAGATGCCTCTTCTCCTCAATACTCCCAAATACCATATCCAGAGCCAGAATGACATTTGTAGGGGGTGGAGGAAGCGGCTGCAGAAAAGATGTGTGCTGGGACCCAGAGAGCTTCTGAAGCCAGGTCAGCACATGCCACTGGAGCAACAGAAGCTGGGGCAGAACCAGAGTGCTGGCATTTGTCAGGTGCAGGCACTGAGAATGGGAAACCTGGAATGGTGATGGGGGACAGTGATGAGGACTGTGCTCAAGGGTTTGTTCCAAGTCAGAGATGGGAAGTATAAGGGACAACTAAAATCAGTGGAGCAAACCAAGATGCTAGAAATATGCCCAGAGACAGAATCCAGAAGGTGCCTAAAGCCAAATTCTAGGAAGAGAATTGAGCATCTGGAGTCAAAGTCAGTCTTAAACGAAGCCAGACAGGAAGAAGCAGATGCCTCATCGTGGCCTCTTCCTGGGCAAAGCAGGGGCCCATGGAGCTGAACTCACCCTTCCTGAGTTCCTCTGATATGAAAATGCCACCAAGACAAGCAGAACATCATTACCCAGGATAGCAGTGATAATGACTGGGTAGCAATAACCGCCTGATAATCACCTCCACTCTGGGCATCAAAATCGCTTTTAATGTCCCCAACAAAGCAGTAGCCTCTGGACAATAAAGCAGATTCCATGGGAACCTGGTTTGTACTGGAAGCACTTTCTTTCAGCAGAACCCAAATTTAGCAGTGGAAGAAATACCGGTTCCATAAAGGATCCTCCTTACA
The DNA here is from genome assembly GCF_000001405.40 of Homo sapiens. Classification (NCBI taxonomy): domain Eukaryota; kingdom Metazoa; phylum Chordata; class Mammalia; order Primates; family Hominidae; genus Homo; species Homo sapiens. The sequence goes on from NC_000002.12 coordinate 29,874,024, forward strand.
ATGACCTCCCCAACCCTAAGCAGGAATTGCTCCACCATCAAAGCACCCATTAACTACTGACCAAATATAGCAATGCACTGGAATGTATGGACAAATTCTCTTGTACCATTGCTCAAGGATTTATGCATACAGAAGCACTTGTTGGTATGACTGTTCTTGTGACTTCAAAAAATGGTGAGATTATTCCCTTCTCTATGGCTTTCTTCTCTGGTCCCCACCCCACCCCCGCCACCCAGGACCAAGCAATGTTTGATGACTGTCAACTCAAGCCCAGTACGAAAAGTGCTGTGTTCGTGTGACAAAGGCTGACATAGTTGAAATAAACCTTGGCAATGACAAGCTAAACCCAAAGACACTCAGTGAAATATCAGATAAGCCAGATCAGATGTTTTCCTCTCTCTTGAGAAGAACTCAGACAACATGAAAATTTGGACAATTTAAGTCAGGGCTAGTGCTGGAACCCTTACCTAAAGCAGTTACTATGCCTTGGACAGGACCTCCCGGCCCACATGCACCTAGATGAAATACTACTGATGTTGTTCAAGCTCTTTGGGGATTTTGTCTCCAAATTACCAATGTCATTTCTCAATATGCCAGGAAGAGAGAAGGAAAGCAAGCATGAGACAAGTTTGCATAGAAATATACATGGGAAAATCATTTTCAGAAAATCCCACAAGAAAGCAACAGGGGAGACAAGAGTGGATTCTTGATTCAAAGGGTAGTAATTCCCATATCAGAGGGGCCTTTGTAAATGACATTGGAGGCACAGATACAAACACCTTGGACTTCACACCAAGATACGTCTTTATTCCTAGTGCCCACCTTCCCCCTGCTCATCAAGTGAACTTCCTTATCAGTCCCTACCTGTACTCAGCTCTTCTGGCCTGACTGCACATTAGAATCACCTAAAGAGCTTTAGAAAACATTCCTGTATTTGGCAGGTCCTCAGGAAGTTAAATATAGAATTAGCATGTGATCCGGCAATTCCACTCCTAGGTACACACTCAAAAGAATTGAAAGCAAAGGCTCAGATACCTATAAACCAATGTTCATAGAATTATTCACAATAGTCAAAAGGTAGAAATAACCCAAATGACCATCAATAGATGAAAGAACAAACAAAATGTGGTATATTTATACAATGGAATATCATTCAAGCCTCAGAAAAGAATGAAATTCTGATACATGCAAATAAATAGAGACAGAAAGTAGACTAGAGGTTACTAGGGTGGGGGAATGGGGAGTCATTGCTTAATGAGTACAGAGTTTCTATTAAAGATGATGAACAAGTTCTAGAAATGGATAATGGTGAGGGTGGCACAACATTGTAAATGGACTTAATGTCACTCAATTGTACACTTACCACAATAAAATATTTCTTTTTTTACCATTACTATTTTTTTACATTTTACTTTAAGTTCTGGGATACATGTGCTGAATGTGCAGGTTTGTTATATAGGTATACCTGTGCCACGGTGGTTTGCTGCACCTATCAACCCATCATCTAGGTTTTAAGCCCTGCATGCATTAGGTATTTCTCCTAATGCTCTCCCTCTCCTTGTCCCCTACCCCCGACAGGCCCCGGCGTGTGATGTTCCTCCCACTGTGTCCATGTGTTCTCGTTGTTCAATTCCCACTTATGAGTGAGAACATGTGGTGTTTGGTTTTCTGTTGCTGTGTTAGCTTGCTGAGAATGATGGTTCCCAGCTTTATCCATGTCCCTGCAAAAGACATGAACTCATTTTTTTATGGCTGCATAGTATTCCATGGTGTGTATGTGCCACATTTTCTTTATCCAGTCTATCATTGATGGGCATTTTTATTGGTTCCAAGTCTTTGCTATTGTAAATAGTGCTGCAAGAAACATACATGTACATGTGCTTTTAGAGTAGAATGATTTATAATCCTTTGGGTATCTACCCAGTAATGGGATTGCTGAGTCAAATGGTGTTTCTGGTTTCCCTGGCCCTCCCCACCCTTGTCTGTTTTTCTCTGCTTCATCCTCACTCTGGACTACGGGCACTGCCTAGCAATATGTGTGTGTGTTGAGATTATATTCTGTTATCTACCCTGCCTTTGCCAGTTCTATGGCCATGGGCAGCTTACTTTATGTTTCTGATTCTCAGTTTTCTCATACATAAAATGGGGATAATACTCTCAACTGCATACTATTGTTGTCAGGATTAAAGGAAATAATACAAAAGATGCTTAGTCCAATGTCTGGCACATGATAAACTCATTAAATGTTAGCAGTGATGGTAATGATGACAGTGGTGATGACAGTGGTGGTGATGGTGATGGTGGTGGTGGTGGTGATGGTGATGGTAGTGGTAATGGTGGTGATGGTGGTGATAGTGATAATGATGATGGTGATGATGGTGGTGATGGTGATGTGGTGTGGTGATGGTGATGGTAGTGGTGAGGATGATGGTGATGGCAATTGTGATGATGGTGGTGATGGTGATGGTAGTGGTAATGGTGGTAATGGTAATGATGATGGTGATGGTGATGGTAGTGGTAATGGTGGTGATGGTAATGATGATGCTGATGGTGGTGGTGATGGTGGTAATGGTAATGGTGATGGCAATAATGCTGATGGTGGTGATGGCGGTGATGGTGATGATGGTGACGGCGATGGTGGTGATGATGGTAACGATGGTGATATGGTGATGGTAGTGATGGTGATGGTGGTGATGGTGATGATGATGGTGGTGATGGTAATGATGATGGTGGTGATGGTGATGATGATGGTGATGATGGTGGTGATAATGATGATGGTGGTGTTGGGGATGATAATGAAGGTGAAGATGACAATAATGATCCTTTCTCCCTTTAGAATGCTCTGTGTTTGTAGATCCCACCTTTGCATTGAACCAGCTCTCAGGCCCTGTCCCACCAGTTTTTTCTTGTCCATCCTTCCATCTTTCTTAGCTTCCTTGGTCCTGACTTCTCCCTGAAATATCTAACCTCCCAGGACTCATAGTAAAAATCAGACCCTCCAAACTGGAAGAGAGCTTAGAGCTAATCCAATCCAACATATTTACATTATCAGAGGTTCAACGAAGTAATTTTCTTAAGGATCAGTGTCTCCTTTGACTCTTGTGGTATCACATTTGCATATCAAAAATAAACATAAATATATAACTTCTTTTTGCCTGTTTATAAGTTAAGTTGGAGGCTGATGTGAGCCAAAATACACTCACACCTCAGACTTTTTGTACTTGCTGTTTCCTCTGCCTTAAGTGCTCTTCCTCCAGATATCCTCATGGCTCTGTCTCTCATGCCATTCCCATTCTTGGTCTAACACCAGCTTGTCATAGAGGCCTTCCCTGTCCATCCTATGTAAATGAGCACCACTGTCCTATCACTGTCTGTCCCTTCCCAGGCTTCATTTTCTCCCTGACCCTTACCAGCATGTATTTTTTGGCTTATTGTCTGTTCTCTCCTCTGGAATATAAACACCATGACAGCAGAAACTTTTTTCTGTTTGGTTCACTGCTGTATCCCTAGCGCCTAGACCATGCCTATCACATAGTAGGTATTAAGTAATCATTCATTCATTCATTCATTCAGTGGGTAAGTCAGTTCATTGTTTAACTGAATGAATTCATGAGGCCTCAGTCCACCAACTATCTCATTGGCTCAGAATTTCACAGACGTAGCAGCATATCATGGGTGACGACCCCACTCCCACACCCCTCCCACACGCTGGCTCTGCTCTGCCTACCTGTACTTTCGGAGTCAGGTCTTCAAGGCAAAAGCGCTGCTCCTTGTGGTTGCCTCCTGGCTCCTAGGGGAGAATCCAGGAGGCTGCTTTTCCCCATGGAATGACTGGCTGCCATATGGTTCCCAGTAAAGCAAAGGCAGGAAACCTCCTATTCCCTCTGCCCAACCCTAGGATTCTGGCTTCCTTCCCAGACCCAGAAGAGAGACATGACTACCAGATTATAGGGTAGTGGGCCCACCTGTTTACCATAATCTGTAGAGGGCATTATCCCATCCACCCCAACTTGGGAGAAAAGCTGAGTAGAACATTGTTTGATAAGAATGGCTTTTCATCCATTGTACAAGATAAAAAGCTACCTCCTTCATTTTGTTGGATTGCAGGATCAATCAAGTACACAGCTTTTTGTTTAGCAAGAAGCCACCTGTTTACCATTTGTAAAGGGATTTGATTGCCTCCAAGAAATATTAGTGTGGAGCTGCAGTATTCTACCCACCGAGGAAGGGCAAGAGGCACAGAAATCGAGAGAAAAAGTTATAAGCCTTTGGGAAATTAGGTCTCTAGGAGGTTGATTGAAAATAACGAAAACTATTATAAGCCAAGCCTGTATTAAGTACACTGTTCACTGCCTCTATTACTCTCACAACATTCCTGCAGTCATTTGTATTTTATAGATTGAGAAACTGAGGCTCACATGACTTGCCTGAGATCTAACAACTGGTAAATTGTAAGGTCCATATTTAATCCCAAGCCTAAGTTTTGTTCTTTTAGCCATCATTCCTAGGCAAATATGCTGAAAGGTCCTGTTGAGGCATTTTAAAACAACTTCCCCTAGCTCAGACCTGGATGTTACTAGTAGGTCGAGGTCACTATTGGGGCTTAGAAATTTCCAGTCTTCCTTGGAGGATAAACAAGTTGCCAATTACTATGATAAAGGAACTGTCATCTCATGAGATTATGGAGCAAGGAGGACTCTAAGGAATGGAGGTTCAGCCAGTGCAGTGACAGTAGACACAGCAGAGAGCTGGGTGGGGAGCTGGAAAGCATTGTAGTTGACAGATATGTGGGATACAGGGTTACTAGGTCTAAGAGGAAAGTAAAATCAGGGGACAGTGCTGGCCAGGAATCCAGAGTTGAGAAGGTGAGGCTGGTAGATGGAGTAGGGAGAGAATCCAGGGCAAAATGCTGCAGAGAAACATAGTAGTCTAGTTGGCTAAAGTCGAAGCAGAAAACCCACACAGTATGCAGGCAAGAAACAGGACTGATGCCAGGGAGTGTCAGTCAGCAGAAGTCAATTCTACCCAGCATTCTTTGACTCCAAAGACACAAGATCCTTTGAACTCAGTGAACCAGGATATATGACCCACCCCTGCGTGGTACTAAAGGGCTACTGTCCACACATAGCCTATGCCTGCATGGCAGCCCAGGACACACGATCCTGACCCAGAGAATGAGAATCCCTCCCCCAAGCAGTTTTCTTGGATTCTAAAAGAATTTGGCTTGGAAAACTTCCAAACTTTAGACAAAACAGCTTACAAGGAAATACTCTTATTTTAAACCAAAGTGCTTGTGGTTGATCAGGTAAGCAGTGTGCAACTATGCATGCAGCAACACACTGCTTCCTCCATCAAAAAGGTCTTGCAAGGAAAAAAAGTGTCAACTGAACTAACTTGTAAACTTAGTGATGAAGGTGATTTACATCCTTGTGCAAGCTCCTTATCTCATCAATGACTGTCTATGGCAACCTGTTTTAAACTATTCTGCTCCAGCTCTTTAGGCATCAGACACCTCCCAAACAAATCCCACTGTCCACTCATGTCCTAGGAGACTGACAGCATGGGAAAGTAGGGTCTGAAGGACTCACGTTTAAGATAATGGTTCATTCAGCTTGACTCAAACAATGGGGTACTTATTCTATCCTTTTCTCCCCAAAGTGACAGAGTGATTGTTCCTAAGAAACAAAGAGGACGTGCCCACTTATGAAAGGGAAGAGAAAGGATGAATGCTAGGTCATTCATCCCAAAAGAATGCTTTTCTTTTAGGGAAAAACTTCTCTTCCCTTTGGTAAGAAGCAGTCAGTAGGTTTCCTGTAAATCTGATAACTAACAAGGCCGAAACTTCATGGACCTGAATCTGTCAAAGAAAAGAAAGGCCGCCTGAATTATTTCAAAGGGACAAATTATTACTTCACAGTCATCTGATGCTAATCCAACTCTTTATCACCTGAGATGATTTTCTCCAACTGCCAATGTCCCATGGCAGATTTAAAGCAGATCCAAGAAGCTCCATACTACAGATTTCCTCTTCATCTGTTAGAGGCTGCTGTCTTGTCAGAAAGGGGATTTGGGAAATGCCATCTTTTCTGCAGACCCATCCTTGGAGAGATGTCTGCCTCATTAATGACAAGGCCACTTTATCATCTCTCAGAGAAAATCTTCCCCTGGCTGCCTTGGGAGGCAGTCTCCTCTCCATCCTGCTCCATACCTTTGTTGCCTATCAGCTTCTATCTTGATTGGGTCCTGGTCATATCAGAATTAGCTGTGAAGTAGGAAAAACCAGCTGGCCAGGCAGATGTACCCCAGGGCAGGAATGGGGTGATGGTCTGACCTCAGAAGGAAGCAGGAAGTCGGGGTGTATCAGAGCCCTTGGCTGAGTTGCTGAGTAACCTCAGGGCAGTGGTTTTAAATGTTGGGGGGTCACAGATCCTGCTGAAAAGCTGATGAAAGCTATGGACTCCCCACTTTGGACCAAATTAAAAGCCATTGACTTAGTGGCTGTCACCCACCCCCACTTAAGCTCCTACTTTATAAGTCCCCAGGGATCTATGGCTAGGTATATTTGGATTTTCAGTGCTGAAAGAATAGCCCAAGTGGGATATCATAAACACACACGCCTCGGAGGAAAGGGGAGATCTGGGTTTTAATTCTCACAATATCTATGTGCTTGGTTATGGGAAAGCCACATTTCTTCTAGTACCCATGCCATAAAAGTGAGCCTGAAAAATTGCTTCTTTAAGGAATCCTAAGTGTTTCATGGAGCAACCATGGGGCTATAGCCATTGGCAAGATGGAGGCTGGAAGCAAGGTTTTGTGGCCACTTTCTCATTCTTCCTCTTCAGTTAGAGCTGCTTTTCTGGCCTTTAAAATTTTGAAGCTCTCTGGATTAAAGGGTCTCTAAATTTCCTTCCAGAGTTAACTTTTTAGTAGTCTAGATCTGGCCCCGGACAGAGAAAGGAGCCAAGGGTGGACAGTTCAACTAAGGGGCCTCACTGTAATATGCATTTCTGAGCTCTTGCCTCTACTCCAACAGAACGTAGGTCCGTCTTCAACTGTGTAGTCTCACGGACAACCAGCTCATGCTAGATGCACCTGCAAATTGTATGGAACAGAGAAAGGTAGAAATCTCTTCCTGGAGAAAGAGGAATGCAGGCTGCTTTGCCCTCATTTCCAATCCCTCCATTTCCAAAGAGCTGAGCCTTGCAAAGTTCCAGGGCCACTAAGTGAACGCTGAAGGAAGCAGCAGGCTGCTCCCGACCCACTCAGTGTAGAGCTGTTTTACTGGTATTGTTCTGCTAACTTGCTAAATAGCTATAATTAAAACCAGGCTATTATCATTAATTATGATCTTCCCTCTTCTGATTGGCAGGTTGGTGCTTTTATCAAATTTCAGAGAGGAGCATTTCTGTGTCTTCCAGGATGCAAGAAAGATAGATGGGGCTTAATTGTTCTGACTTTGGAGCAAAGGGCATGGTGGCATTGTCAGGCATGGCAAACTTTTGTACTTGTGGGGCGGGCCCTCCTGCCAGCTTGTCCAGACACAACAGGCTGCTGGCTGTCTCCCCGCCTCCTGCGTGGGCTTTAAACTCTTTACAAAGTAATGAGGTAGAACTGGGAGAGGAAAGGAAATTTCACAGGCAAGAATGGGGCAAAAGTTCTACCCAGCTGTTTTAAGGCTCAGCTGAAATGCCTCTTCCTCCATGAAACTTTTCCCAATCCCCCACCCTCTTCATCTTTTCCAAGTCAAAATGATCCTCTTCACCTTTTCCAAGTGAAAATGAATTATTTTCTCATTATTACTTTCATTACCTGTACTCCCCCATTTTCCCTCATTTTAAACCTCAAATTTTCTGTAGTTTCTACTCCCAGCAGATTGGAGGGAGAAACAACTAGAGCTTCCTCAGTTCAGAAGGCCAAAGGAGCCTGCAGAATGGGGTGTGACTTTTTTGGCTCTGCCCTTCTGATCTGACCCTCAGCCCTTCAGCAGCTCAGTGAAGACCCACACACACACATCACAGTCCCCCCACCCAATTCCTCCATCTGCAAACAGGGACTCCGTCTGAGGTTGCCTCAATAAACTTAATCATTTCTAAGCTGGCCATGAAAAGGTTGTGAAGGACTGTAGGTGTGAGAGCATCGATGTCCCCTCAAAACAAATCTCGAGGGATTTGAAGCAGAACAACTTCTAGAACTCGACTGTCAGACCGGAAAGTTTAAAATCAAGAGAATAAAGCCAGACAAGAAGAAACCAAGCCACAAATTGCAAACAAGTCATTTTTCTAAAAAATGGAAATAATAAAAACTATGAAGCAAAACATAATGTCTCAATATAAACCATTACAGTGAGTTAAATTGAAACTTAATTTGTTTATAAAAACTAGATAATACCAGGCTGGGCGCAGTGGCTCATGCCTGTAATCCCAGCACTTTCGGAGGCTGAGGCAGGTGCATCACAAGGTCAAGAGATCAAGACCAGCCTGGCCAACATGGTGAAACCCCGTCTCTAATAAAAATACAAAAATTAGCTGGGTGTGGTGGTGCGCACCTGTAGTCCCAGTTACTCAGGAGGCTGAGGCAGGAGAATCACTTGAACCTGGGAGGCGGAGGTTGCAGGGAGCCGAGATTGCGCCACTGCACTCCAGCCTGGCGACAGACAGGCAACAACAACGACAACGAACTAGATAATACCAAGGAGGCATCACTTCACCTGGCTTGAGAAGTCAAAAGGGCTGTTTATGTTTACCTAATGCTAAAGTTGCCAGATAAAATCCAGGACACCCAGTTAAATTTTGACTTTCAGATAAACAACAAATACAACTTTTAGTGATGTGTATCCCAAATATTGTAAACATCAGATGTGATTATCTGAAGTTCAAACTTAACTGATCATCATGTATTTTTATTTGCTAAAGCTGGTCACTCTACCTATTACTCTAATGTTTTTCCTTGGTCATAAACGGAAGTGCAAATAAGCTTAATGTTTATATTGATAGAGAATTTTTTCATGAAGGAAGGAAGGAAGGGAGCAGAGGGTGAGAGAGAGAGACGACAGAGAGAGGAAGGGAGAGAGGAAGGAGGAAGGAAGAAAGGAAGGGAAGGGAAGGTAAAAGAAAAAAAGAAAAAGAAAAAGAAAAGAGGAAAGGAAAGGAAAAGAAAAGAAAAGAAGTACAGCATTAAAGAATCCCTTACTTCCCTGTTAGGCAGGTCAAAACAATGGTTATCCAGCAACCAAGCCTGTGCTAACTCCAGCTACTGAGGTCTGCCAGCCATTCCCCAACCTGGTCTTTTCCTTATTCTAGGTTTTTCCTTTAAGTATCCTACTGCCTTAATGCTGTTAAGCTCATTTATTTTCAGTGAATTCCTTCAAGGCCCAGGTTTAGGCCATCTTCACCAGAAAACCTTCCCAGACTCTCCATCCTCTGGCCTCTGCCCTGTGATATTCCTTGGTGCATGATGATGAATTTCTGAGGATGGGTGCTGTGACTTGTCTACCACTGTATCTCCCCAACTGTGTCTAGCATAACACCAGGCTCACAGGGGCCCTCAGTAAAGAATGCTGAATTGAAACATGTTCTTTTCCCAAGAGATGAATACAGAGAAGCCAACTAACTCAGATTCAGTGGGGTAAAAACTAGGCTCAGACCTGCTCACTCCTTGAAGAGTAAGATGGAATTTTCTCATATGCCAATTAAATATGGATAACCTTTGAACAACAGGAGTTTGGACCGCACGGGTCCACTTACATGTGAATTTTTTTCAATAAATATATTGGAAAATTTTTTGGAGATTTGTGACAGTTTGAGAAAACTCACAGATATAGTACATAGCCTGGAAATATCAAAAAATAAGAAAAAGTTATGTATGTTATGAATCATAAAATATATGTAGATACTAGTCTATTTTATCATTTACTACCATAAAACATACACAAATCTATAAGTTAAAATGTATTAAAACTTATTGTGCACACAAACACAGACTGTACATGGCATTGTTCATAATTGAGAGAAATGTGAACAAATGTAAAGATGCAGCATTAAATCATAACTATGAAATTAATTTTAGTTAATACTGTACTACTGTAATAGTTTCATAACCACCTGTTACTATTGCAAGAGGTCAAGTGTTGAATCTGTTTAAAATCTTCATGTTAAAAAAAACATGAGTAGTTTTCTCTCCAGTAAATTTCATATCATAGTAAAATGTGATCTCTCATAGTTCTCACATATTATTCATCATGTTTAGTGCAATACTGTAAACCTTTAATAACACCATGGGACCCATACAAAGTGACAGTAGTGATGCTGGAACTGCTCCCAAGAAGCAGAGAAAAGTCATGACGTTACAAGAAAAAGATGAATTGCTTGATATGTGCCATAGATTGAGGTCTGCAGCTGCCAGCCATTTCAAGATAAATGAATCCAGCATAAAGACCATTGTAAAAAAAAAAATGTGAAGCCATTGCTGTGGCTACACCTGCAGGCATAAAAACCTTGCACTTTGGGGTAAATACGTTTTTATGTCAGATTGAAAATAAAGCTTTTATATGAATGCAGGATTGTTATAAGAAAGCCATACCTATAGAGTCTAATGTGATTTGAGAAAAAGCCAAGTTATTATGTAACAACTTAGAGCAAAAGGAAGGTGAAGGATCTAAAACTGGAGAAGGTAATGTCAGCAAAGGATGGTTTGATAATTTTAAGAAAAAGTTTGGGTTATAAAAATGTCAAGATAACAGGGAAGCAGCTTCTGCTGACCAAGAGACAACAGAAGAGTTTTAGATGCCATGAAGAAAATTATCTAGGAGAAAGGATATCTGCCTGAATAGATTTTTAATGCAGATTAAAGTACCCTACTCAGAAAAGAAATGGCCACAAAGCACATTTATGAGTAACGAACAGAAGTGAGCACCATGATTCAAGGGAGGAAGGGATAGGCTAACTCTACCATTTTGTGCAAATGCAGATGGGTTTATGATCAGGACTTATCAATACAGCTGCTAACTCCTAAACCTTGAAGAGAAAAGCGACAGGTTTGGAGTTATACAAGAAGGCCTAGATGCTGAGACCCTTTTTCTGGATTGGTGTCCTTAATGCTTTGTCTCTAAAATCAGGAAGTACCTTGCTAGTAAGGGACTACCCTTTAAAGTTATTTTGATATTGGATAATGCCCCTTGTTGCCCAGAAACCTGTAAGTTCAACAATGAAGGCACTGAAGTATTCTACTTGCCTCCAAACACAATGTCTGTAGTTCAGCCTCTAGATCAGGGGGTCACAAGGACCTTTAAGGCTCATTACACATGATACTCTATGGAAAGGATTGTCAATGCTGTGGAAGAGAACCCCAACAAACAGAACATCACGAAAGTCTGAAAGGATTACACCATTGAATATGCCACTGTTGTTATAGAAAACGTTGTGAAAGTCATCAAGCCCAAAACAATCAATTCCTGCTTGAGAAAACCATGCCCAGGTTTTGTATATGACTTTGCAGGATTTATGACAATCAAGGAAATCATGAAAGAGATTATGGATATGGCAAAAAAAAAAAAAGGGTGGAGAATGAATGCTTTCAAGATATGGGTGTTGGAGAAGTTCAAGAGCTAATAGAAACCACACCAAAGGAATTAACAGAAAATGACTTGATGGAGATGAGTGCCTCCAAACCAGTGCCAGATGATGAGGAGGAAGACACAGAAGAAGCAGTTCCAGAAAACAAATTGACAGTAGACAATCCAGAAAAAGGGTTCTAATTACTCAAAACTACTTTTTACTTCTTTTGCAACATGTATCCTTCTATGAGGGTGCTGAAACTAAAGTACATGGTGGAAGAAGAATTGATATTGTATAGAAACATTTTTAGAGAAATGAGAAAGCAAAAAAGTCAGACAGAAATTACTAGGTATTTCCATAAAGTTACACCATATATGCCTGCCTCTCCTGCCTTCTCTTCCACCTCCTCCACCTCTTCTGCTCCTGCCACCTCTGAGATAGCAAGACCAACCCACCCTTTTCCTCCTCCTCCTCAGCCTACTCAACTTGAAGATAATGAAGACCTTTGTAATGATCCACTTCCACTTAATAAATAGTAAACGTATTTTCTCTTTTTTATAGTTGTGTTAATAACATTTCCTTTCCTCTGGCTTATTTTATTGTAAGAACACAGTATAAAATACACATAATATGCAAAGTATGTGTTAACTGACTGTTTATGTTATCAGTAAGACTTTCAGTCAACAGTATGCTATTAGTGGTTAATCATAATAGTAGTTATGTTTTTGGGAAGTCAAATGTTCTACTTGGATTTTTGACTGTGTAAAGGGTCAACTGTGCAGGGGTTGTTGAAAAGTCAAGTGTACATTTCAGCCAGTTAACTAAGAATAATCCATCATGCATGTGTAGTACCCTGGCCCTATACCTATCTATTTGCCTGTACCTTCATCTTTGTTAGCCCTTTTATAAGAGACTAAACAGAAAAAGAGATGTAACTCAAAACTCAGGCCTATGGCCCCAGCCATGTCCACTTCCTCCCACAAGGGAAGAGAAAGAAGGAAGATTGCCCTTAGCTAACACTACCTTGTCAGGACTGTGGTCAAGTGCATCTCAGTCTCATGCCATCAAAACCCGGGTGAAAGAGACACTCAAGTAAGACAGACCTATATTTAACTTCCAGAAGTTCACTTTGCACAAGTTATATCACCCCTTTTGGCCTCAGTTCCATCATTTACAACATGGGAATCATTATACCTAGCTCAAAAGGTTTTTATGAAGATTAGCTGATATAACACAGCACAGCGCTTAGCTCAACACCTGGCAAATTGGATATTTATTAAATGCCAATTTTCAAATTCTTATCAGAAGGTTTCCCATGGTTTACACAGTAAAGAAGGGAAGAGAAAGACTGAATGAGGAACATTCTCACTTGAAATCAGGAATATTTTAACCCACCCAAGCATTTTGACTACTCTGTGGACTTTTCTCAATGCCTCCCTGAATGATTGATTATTGCTGTTTTGTCCAGTGCTTTCACATTTTACTGGGCCTACAGTTAGCTTGCTGCCTAACAAACTATCCCCAAAATTTAGTGGTTTAAAGCAACAACCATTGTATTATATCTCATAAATGCCATAGTTACAAAATTCAGGCATGGTTTTAACTAGTTGATTCTTCTGTTCCATGTGGCATGAGCTGGAGTCACTTGTTGGTATTCAGCTGGCAGATAGCTGGTCTTGAGGGCACAGGGTGGCTTCATTCATATGCCTGACAATCTAGCAAGAATAGCAGGAAGTCTGGGCTTAGCTGGGGCTGTTGGCCACAGTGTCTTCATGGGTATCTCAGAGCACTTGGAAGTCTTAAATGGCGGCTGGCTTCTCCCAAAGTTAGCATCTCAAGAGAATCAGGAGAAAGCTGCACGACCTTTTCTGTCCTATGCTCAGAAGTCATCCTGGGTCATTTCTGCCACACACTATTAGTCAAACAGTCACAAGCCTGCCTAGATTCAAGGGGAGGGACATAGAGCCCATCACCTCTCAATGAGAGAGGATCAAGGACTTTGGGCCTATATTTTTAAACTGCCATCCTGGGAATCTTGTCAAAGTGCAGATTCTGGTTGGGTAGGCCTGAGGGTTGGGCCTTGGATTCTACATTTTTAACAGATTCCCAAGTGATGCCAGTATGGACATTTTAAAAGTCACACTGTGGGTAGGAAAGGCTTGACAAGCCCATTATGTTGTATCTTCCATTGCACCAAAATTCTGTTACTGTTCCTGTTGTCTCATTCCTGGTTAGCTTCATTTAATTTAAAACTCAGACAGCCAATCTTTTCTTGTGCTTACTGGAAGGACTGCTATGTTAAGAGACCTTTACTTCAAAAGAAAGAAACATCCCTGTGTTTAGATTTCACAAGAGAACCTAAAAGGGCTACCAGGAAAACCTTTGGCAGAGAATGTCAGGTCAGGTAATCATAAAGCCCTCTGGGTACCTTTTCTCTACCATCCACTTTGAGGAGAGAGTAAGTCCAAAAAGCTAACTGTGAGAGGAGGACTCACTGGTGGTTTATCACCTCTTAGAGGCTCGTGGGATAGCTGTGACTCAGCTAGTTGCTAACTAGTAAATATTGATGTCTTGGTTTCTGGCAATATAAGTCAATTATCCAATTACCATGGCTGTTCCTAGCTGTGGAGGATTGGGCCTGTAGACATTGAGCACATGGTCCAATAAATTGTTTTTTTTTTTTTTTAAAAAAAGGGAAACTATGTATTAAGCTAATGATCAATGATCACAATTTTATTTACTAACATTTACTTGCTTACTTAAGGAATGATACAATTCAAAGCAGGATTAGAAGAAATATAAACATCAAGATAAAATATGGTGATGTCTAGATTAATTATCAGCTGTTATAAATTATCATTCCCATAGGACCAACTTTCTTTAAAGGGACTTTTCCCTTTTTCCCATCGAAACAAGTGCAGATTTTGCCCTGTGTAGAATTTCCACTGGGGTGGGCTGTTCCAGCTACCGAACCAGCTTCCGAACTCAGAGGCACATGGCACCAGTGGCATTGAAATGCACGCTCCAGCTTACCTGAAAGGAATTGTTAATATTTCTGTTCAGTATACCTAATTAGCTCTGGAGTACTGAAATTTCACAGAAGTAAAATTTGATATATGTCCATGAATTCCTATTAATTTCCCAAAAAGGAGTCCCTCTTACTATATCCAAAATTTTTGCATCTTTTACATTTTCATTGAAAAACCACTTTAAAAAAAAGTTACATGCCAATTTCTAAGATGTTTCCTCACAATCAGAAAAATGTTGTTACCGTAACATCCAATACACCATTTCCTTCTGACTCCTGGGGAACTCGCTGTTGGTGTAAAAGTGGAATTTTCAAGCTGTTTAGTTGAAATAGAACATTTTGTTAAGTGAAGTCCTAAGGGGAATCCCAATGTATAAAACCAACAAGAGTGAGTAGCTGTGACTGAATCAACTGTGGGAGCATCTCTGTCTCCAAACACAGTTTGAAAACCACTGAGTAGAAGTTAATTTGAACCAAAAAGTGACTTTGAATATAAATCTAGTCTGGCTAGATTTATATTAAGCTTTCTTCTTAAAAAGTTCTGTCTTTTTACTTAGTTGCATTTTAAAGCACATTTAAATAGAAATAAATGTTTCCAGGGATATACAATGGTTTCTCTGCAGTGGAAAGAAAGGAAAAATATATATACACATATATATATATACACATATATATCATATACTCTCTATATATATCACATATAAGCTAATGAGCAATGTTAACACAATTTTATTTACTAATGTTTACTTGCTTATTTAAGGAATGATACCATTCAAAGCAGGATTACAGGAAATGTAAACCTCTTGATAAAATATGGCAATGTCTAGATTATCAGGTGTTATAAATTATCATTCCCACAGGATCTATTTTCTTTAAAATGACTTTTTCCTTTAAATAATAGATGGATGGATGGATAGATAGATAGATAGATAGATAGTAGTGGGGAGGCTGTGGAGAGAAAGTGACAGCCGAGAGAAAGTGACAGCAGAGAGACAGCAGGGGAAAACACCCACTTCCTGGGTCTGGCCATGCACAGACCCCCAGTACTGTTGTGGAATATCTATCTATCTGTATCTATATAGATAGATAGACAGAGAGAGAGAGAGAGAGAGAGAGAGAGAGAGAGAGAGAGAGAGAGAGAGAGAGAGAGAGAGAGAAACCAGGAGGGCAGGCAGGTGAGGTGCATAAAGGCCCTGTGATGGACACAGACTCCAGTACTGCTAGTCCTGGATGACTGTGTAGTCATTTCATCTCTTTATGACCCAAGTTATTGAAGGATAAGAACAACCACCAGCTGTTGCTGGACCCTCTTGTGAAAGCAAGCTGAAAAACCAAGACAGCAAGATGCTTTACAAAGACATTGTAGAGAAATGCTTCAAAACGTGTACATCCAGAGGTTTCCAGTCCCCTAAGCAAGGATTTCCAGGCCATTTGCACTCTCAGCTGAACATAGAGCATCTGCAAGTAGGAGAGAGACAAGCTCTGCTGGGTCTTTAACCAGGCATTTATCTTGACAATTGACTCTATGCCCTCTGCCCCTTAGCACTTTGGTTTTGCTGTTTTATGTCAGTGTGCCTTTTCCCACCTCAAGCAGACCATGTGCCACTAGAATGAAGGGGGCTATGTCTTATGTTTGGTAACCCCTTTTAGTACCATACCTAACCTAAGTATTAGTACTGTTTCAGAATGAAACAGTGGAAGTTTCCAGAGTCAAACAGGCCTGGGCCTGAATCCACCAATGCCTTTGGTAGAAATCTGGATTTCTATGCCCTGAGTTTTCTAAAAGTGAGTCTGAAATTCTCTGTTGTACTCTCTACTACAAAAAGGTTATAGGCGTGATATTCTTTGCCGTGTCCTAGAACCCTCAAAACAAACATTTTAGGGGACAGGATTGCCTTTTCAGGCAGAACCTCTGTTGAGGGAAAATGGCAGTTAGGTTTGTTCCCATTTCCTTCTAAAGAGAACCAACAACATTGTCATCTATTTGAATGATGTTAAACAGTTTACAAAGAATTTTTACGTATATTCTCTCTCCACGGCCCCTCTGAATCTCTGAGCGGGTGGCAGGGTAGCTGCCATCAGTCCTGCTTCACATATACGACTCATCTTAAGCCAGTGACTTAATCAGCTGTGTCCCCCCATCTAAGAACCAAGGTCTCCTGGTAGCTAACCGTTCCCTTGCCTCAATTCTGTGTTATTGGAGACTTGCCTCAGGCCACACAGGCCAGAAGACTTCTCAAGTCTTGGAAGGAAGCCCCCAACTCATAGCTCAGCACACATCTTCTCAAAACATAATAAAAGAGGAACTGAATAGAATGGAAATTTCAGTGAAGAAGACCTAAGTTTGAATCTCACACCTGCTGTTCCTGGCTGTATGACTGGGTAAGTTAACTTCTCTGGAACTCGGTGTTCTCTATCTATAAAAATGGGGATAGTAATATTTTCTTCAAGGGGGTTTTGTGAGGATTAAAAGAGACAACATAAATGAAAGCACATAGCTTGGGGGGAAACCTAATGGATGCTTTATAAGTATTTATCAAATTGGAATAGAGGAAAAAGAGGGGCCTTCCTGCCCTAAAATGTCTTCCTCCATACACCTGTAACATCACAGTATTAGAAAGGCCTTCCTTTGGGGGTAAAGGCTCATCTTCTTCAAGAGTGTTAACAATGATTAGGCATGCACAGTTTAAGGATGTCTTGCAGCAGATTTTTAAAAAGAGGTGAGAGTAGGAGAAACTCCAGGGTACAGGAGACCTAGAGAGGATGCCGGGTGACAATCTCTACTTACAGTAATGTGGGTAACACTATGCATCTTAAATAAGCACAATGTTGACATAACACTTATCTGCATTAGCATGTTTCAGATCAAGCACTTCAGATGCCTTCTCTACACTTGTAAAATCATCATGGTCATAGACCATAGGAACTGCAAATGGCCTTAGAGATCACTCTATCCCATCTCATTTAAAAATGACAAATCTGAGGCCCATAAAGTAGAACATTTTATAGTTCTGGGGAGAACCATAAGAACTATAAGAAAATGCTGAATTCTGATGCTGCCTGGGAAACAAGTGTTAATATTCACATCCAACTGCTTAGAGAGAGAATGACTCACCATCAGTTCACACTTCCCTGGGACCACATGCTACCCAAGCCTAGGAGCTGAAGGGGCTGATAAGGAAGGTCAGTGCCATGTCACAGGTGGAAGCTTAGATGCAGCAGGACTGCAAGGAAGGGCACAGTCTTCCTGACATCCAGCTTCTCTCTGTACAATGCTAGCATCAAGAGAAAGATTCAGCAAAAGCTCATTCTCTGACCACATGTCTTTTGCTTTAGTAAATGGTGGCTTGACTGAGTTCAACCAATCTCTCCCTAACCCAGTCAACCGGCTTTCTATGTACAACCATGGTCCTAACCATGCCCTTTGAGGCACACCCTATTACTCTCTTGCAAATATTCAGTCTTACCTACTACCTGCACCCCCACCATGGAAGGATGTGGTTTCCTGTCCACTGATGTTGGCCTTGGCTTCAAGATTTCCTTTGCTGATTGGAATGTGTGCAGAAGGGGCAATGTGGCAGTTTCAAGAGGCTCTCAGAGCTCTCTTGCACTAGTTTCCTCCAATCTGAGAATATTCAGCTCACATAGGAGATGCCCTTTCATCTTGAATCACAGGATGGGAAGATGCATGGAGCAGATCTGAATCTACTGACAGCCTGAAGAAGAGCAGCAGCCATCCCACTGCACCAACAAGCAACATCAATAATAAAGTTGTTGGAAAGTATCAAGAATTTGAGGTTATTCACGCAGCATAACCAAGTGAAAACTGTCCACTATACTCTTCATCTGTTGGACTGTGATTTCTGAATGAAGGGTAGTTCCACTGTCCCCTCTAATAATTGCTTCTAATCACTTATCTGCACTAAACCCTGTGCTAAGCACTTTACAATCAATCAGCCCATTGGACCCTCACAATGAGCAATTATTAAGGTATTACTGTCCCTGTTCTATAGAGAAAATCTGAAGGCTGAGAGCTGAAGGGATTGGTCACATGATTCGTAAGTGGCAGACCTAAGACTTGACACCATGACCACCCACGCTAGAGCCCAGACTGTCCCCACACTCCAGACTGACTCTACGCACATTAATGCAATGAGAATGCATCTTCTTCCCTGCTCCCACACACATACTTCCCAACTGTGTATAATACTTCTTCCTTTTAAGTAAGCTTGTGGTAGAGGGGGGAGAATGACTTGTGGATACTCAGAATGATCTAAGCACCCACTAGTCCATTTTTTTAAAACATGCTGAATTTTGAGCCTTTCCAAGGTTGACTTGGTCAATTCCATTGTGCCCAGAGCCTGGCCAACCCAGCTTTATAAAGTCCTCCAGCCCATTCCCCATTAGGGCACAGTACTGCCTTGCGCTGGCCATAATGTTTCCCTCCTTGATTTATGGGGCCATCTATTCTGGGCCACTCCTGATGTGCTGTTGTCGCCCCTGCTGCCTGACAGCTTTAGGGATTCTTCTCAGGCCATAATTCTTGAATATTTCCACCCCTCCCCTTCCCTGGCCCTGGGATTTCAGCCACTTTCCATTCAGAAAAAGATTGCTCCATTTATTCTCAGCTTCATGGTCCTTTTTACATTTATCTACTGCTCAGCTGCCTTCCTGATCAGGTATTTAAAGATAAGCCCATCTGCTTCTGATGAGTGACCCTGCTCCTTTTTCTCATTGCTCTGACTTTCTGCCATGCAGCCTCAATATCATTTTATATGTTCACCAGCTCCCAATTCATTCCATTATTCTTTTCTTCTTATCAAATAAGAAAATGGATGTGGAAGGGCCAGGGAAACTATAAAGAGGTGTATAAATATTAGTTCTTTGTGTTATTGTTATTGTTGTTATAACTAACAACCTCCCGAATTTGATTCTAAGTGGCAAAATGTTAACTTTCACTGTGGGGAATGTTCCAGGATTCTTTCTCAGCTTGGCAACCAAACACCAAGGTTTAGGTCCTGTTCAGGTCTGAATTCCCTGGTATACAATCCTGCCTCTAATAAGCAGACTGCAGCACAGGCTTCCAGATGACTCAGTTACGTAGATTACTGTTTCCATAATATCTGTAATAATAGAAATTAGCTTGTTTAAATGAATGGAACTTACTGAATTTCAAGAACAGTGGCTCAAGAAGTTTCTTCTATGGGGAAAAGCATGGAGCTGACAGAGCTGGGTTCAAATCCCAGTTCTGACATTTACAAGCAGAATGACCTTGAGCAAGGTAAACTCTGAACCTCCATTTCCTCATTTAAAGTCTCTTATGGACTGATATGAGGACAAAATTCAGTAGTTCTACAAAAACCCTTAGCAGAGTGCTTGGCACATGACAGTCACCCAATATAAGCATGTAACTGGTGATACGAATGAAGAAATGGAAAACTAGAAGTCACTGCAAATAATTTAAGTGCTCATAAACTTTCAAGTTGAAAGGGGTGTCAAGGACCCAAACCCTTTTCTTATAATAGAAAATGATCAAGAAACCCAGAGAGAACTTGGCTGTCCTCATCTGCAAACTCTGAGGGCAGGGGCCATGTCTGTTTCCTTCACAGTGCCTGGCTCATGGTAGCCCCCAGTGAATATTTGTTGCTGTTGTGGATGGTGGTGTTAAACCCAGGGGAGGCAACATAGCATGGGGGCTAAGGGCAGGTGTTTGGGGATCCAGGAGTCCTGAGCTCCTGCTCCACAACTGAACAGTGAGATACTTGGGCAAGGGACAACCTCTCTAAGCCTCTGTGAAATGGGAAAAGCAATACTATCCCCCACGTGGCATTGCTGGGAGGGCTACATGAGAAATGGAGGTTAAGCCTGACTTTTGCAGGGGAGAAAACATTCAACAAAGTGTTAGCTCTCACAACTACCAATAACCTGGGGAGGGGGAGCAGGGAAAAAAACTATCAATAACTTATCTAAGATAACTTAGTAAATTAGTGGGGACCAGCAAAACCCCAAGCAGAATGACTTCAAGTCCAGGATAATTTCTTCTAGTACAGAAAAATTAAATTTTAAAAATCAGGGTGATATCATTCTATTAATGTTTCATTCTTACTTCTAAAGCACCTTTTTGAATGCAGTATTCTGTGATTCTGGACTCCCTTTTAATTCTCAACTATTTTGCTTTTCTAGGAGGATGACGGGAACATACTAGTATCTGTGAGAATGTGATGCTTCAAACACACACACACACACACAAACACACACACACACACACACACACCCCGACATACTCCTCTTAAATGCACTTGGTGGTCAATATCTCCTATAGAGAGATGTAGCATTTGTTTAACAATCAATGGGAACCATAAAAAGCCCCATGTTTCCATCAGTGGTAAAACCTCCATATGTCAAGTCATGTGCTCCATATGTCAAGTCATGTGCTTCCTTTCTGAAGACTTAATATCAAGGTGTCATCATTATCCATAATGTGTTTTTGAATCAGGTCTTAAAACTTAATGTAGCTTTTATGCCTGGAGATAAGGCAGGATTTGGATTTGGCAAGTTACACACAAGGGCCGCTGGTTGATCCTAATTCTCTAGAATGATGTAAAACCTTAATTAGCTCTGAAAGTTGTTACTTGGGATGACCTCCTCCCCAGCACTCTGCACTGTGGAGGGGTGACAACTTGGGAAGGCAGACCACACTGCAGTGCACTGGGATTCCATTAGAAAGTCTTTTTTCATTCCGAAAGACATTGAGAGTGAACAAAGGTTAAAACACAGAGCTTTTCTTTAAAGGAGAATGGGCAATGAGCTGAAAGTTTAAGACTGAAAGGCTTGGCAGAGAGACAAGAATTGAGGCTGGAAGCAGGAAGCTGCAGCTCCAGGGATCCCTGGTCTGTGGCTGTGAGCCTGGCTATACTATGGTCCAGCACCAGAATGCCTTAACAACACCAATGCCTTCAGAAACCCACAGAAAGGAAACAATGCAGAAAGGAATTCATGGTCTTTTAAATGAGTGTTGCATGATTGGCCATAGTTTATTATTTTATTCCTTCTAGATGATATGTGCCTTTTAGTAGTCCTTCCAGTGGCTTAGTTCAGGAGATCCCTAGCCATCTCAATTCAACAGTTCATTGTGAGCCTCCATCTGCTTAATTACCATCTTATTGGCCAGTTTATCTGCTCTCCTAGGTCATTTCTTTTGGCCGATGTGTTTTTGAAAAGAGGACCACAGGAGTGAGATACTGGCTGTCCAGTATTCTCAGTGGCTTGGGGTGAAGAAAGAGGGTAGGCTACAGGTTATGGGTCTGTGTTTTTCCCTGGTCTTCCCTACATTCCCCACAACCTGTGTTTGATGCCAGAACATTCTGACACAGCTCTCTCCATCCTGAAGTAAGGGAAACTTACTGAATGTGTCCCTAGGATCCATGAACTGTTTCCTGCAATGGGAGAGTAGGTATGGTAGTGTGGGTGCAGGGAGACAAACTGCCACAGAAGCTGCAGGACAAAAAGAGCTCCTACAAGGCAGGGGTCACAAGCTCTTGGGGAGCACAAAGCCCTTGTGTGGAAGCAGGGAGCCGGGCTGCAGAGGAAATGGGTCTTAGAGGAGTTGACATTTGAGTGGAGACTTAAGGTACGAAGAACATTTGCCAAGATGAAGAAGAATACAAAGGGTACCTCCGACCCCCAAGAGGGAATGTCTTGACAAAAGCACAGAGCTGGGAGGGCAGATTTTGTGCTGTTACGGGCTGAGTCACGTTCATTCATCTGTTGAAGCCCTAATCCCCAATGTGACTGCATTTGGAGATCCAGCCTTTAAATAGGTAATTAAGGTTAAATGAGGTCAATAAGGGTGGGGCTCTAATCTAACAGGATTCACATCCTTATAAGAAGAGGAAGAGACAAAGAGAAAAGGCTCTGCAAGGACAAGGAGAGAAGACAGCCACCTGCAAATCAAGGAGAGAGGTCTCAGGAGAAACCCACCTGTGGCACCTTAACCTTGGACTTCTAGCCTCAAGAACTGTGAGAAAATAAATTTCTGCTGCTTAAGCTTCCCATTCTGTAGGATTTTCTGATGGCAGCTCTAGCAAGCTAAGACAAGTGTGGAGCACCTCCACATGATCCCATTGGACAATAAAAGTTCATTGTAAGAAGAATAAAATCTCCATCACGCACCTCCACATGATCCCATTGGACAGTAAAAGTTCATTGTAAGAAGATGCTCAGCTTGGGTTTTTCATTACCTCACACAGGCAGGTTTCTGTATTGTGTAAATACATGGAAATATTGGGAAGAATACACACCAAGCTATTAACACAGGTTACCTCTAGTGAAGGAGAAAGAGCCTAGGTTGATGTTTTGAGCAAAGCAGAGCTTAGATATAGATAGACATAGATGTAAATAGAGATCTACAATCCACCTTTAAAAAGTTAGCAGAGGCCAGGCGCGGTGGCTCATGCCTGTAATCCCAACACTTTGGGAGGCTGAGGTGGGTGGAACACTTGAGGTCAAGAGTTCAAGACCAGCCTGGCCAACATGGTGAAACCCCGTCTCTACTAAAAATACAAAAATTAGCTGGGCATGTTGATAGGTGCCTGTAATCCCAGCTACTCGGAAGGCTGAGGCAGGAGAACCACCTGAGGTTGCAAGTGGTTCTGCAGCTACTCGGAGGCAGAGGTTTCAGTGAGCTGAAATCGTACCACTGTACTCCAGCCTGGACAGAGTGAGACTCCATCTCAAAAAAAAAATTAATTAATAAATAAATAACAATAAAAAGAAGGAAAAAGTAAAGAAAAAGGAGAGTACATTCACATGTCACTTTCATAAATAATACTTCAGTTTAAAAACAATTGTAAAGAGGAAGGGAAGGGTGCATTTGTTCTGTTACCAGGGACATCAGAGTGGGAGGTGGTGGGGTGGGGGCCCCAGGGAGGATTCTCTTGGGAGGCTTTTCAGCAGGATTTCCCTGATGGCTCCTCCCTCCACCAGTCAGCAGTGTGGCACTGTGAGACAGGGTGCTAAAGCCTCAAGACCTCCTCTCTCATTCAGTTACCCTGGGATTTGGTGATTAAATCTCTCCTCCTTCTACCTAGGACTTTTTATAATTGTGTAACTCAATCCTATTCCCTTCAGCCTTCCCTTTCTCTCAAGGAAGAGCCCTTACCCTTCTCAGGCTTTCCTCAAATGTCCATGCCCCTCCTGTACCCTGCCCTTCTCCCTGGGTACGGTGAGAGTCCTTCTTGTGGCCCATGTTATATTTCCTCAGTAGCAGGAGCCAAACAGCCTCCCCCTAGTTCTAGCCCAGTGTGCAGGCTTGTGCTATAGAGAGAGGTGGAAAGGGGAAAGAGAAGATGAAAGAAAAGCAGTCATATCCAAAGGCAAAATTATGAGCTTGAAGTCAGACAGAAGTGAAAATGAAGTTGGAGGATGGAAGGAGTAAAGGCAAGACTAGAAGAAGAGAAAAGGGAAAGGGAAGAATAAAAGAAAGAGGGAGGGTGAAGAGAAAGGACAGCAGGTGACACAGTTCCATGGCCTCAGGGCCTCTCTTTCCTGCCACCTTCCCCAGCCCCAGGCAGCCTAGAGCTGTCCATAGCAGGCCTGTCTGATTTTTTCGGTGAACCCATTCTGAATTCTTCTTCCAAGTTTTAGGTTTGAAAATACGGGGAAAGGCCACATTCCTAAACAAAAATAGAAGAAAGGGTTTGTTTGAAACTGATCAAATGCGATTAAGGGAGAGTACCCAACTCACATCCCTTTGATTAACCTTTATCTGGAGAGAAGTGATTGGTGATTAAGAATTAGATGAGGTGACTAATTATATCAGGAATCTGCCTTCGAAGAAATCTCAGCACCAGAGAAAAAGCTGATAAAAAACAATCATGGCTGTAATGGTGCCTTTTAAGGATAATAATTAACCTGTAATAACAATTTTGGCCTCAACTTAAGCCCTGTAAAATAATCCTTTTTCATTAACTTCAAGTTCAATTAACATCAATAATGAGTGCTCATTTAGAAGTAACCGCCACATCAAGCTCCCTGATGGCTGAGCTCGGGCAGCTCAGCTTCCACTGAAAGACCAGCAGCCCTTGCCACAGGACTGAATGTCCCCAACATGGTAAGCTTTGGGTGTACCCATTACAAAACAAGGAAGAATGTGATGTTCAGAAAGAGAGAAGCTTCAGATGGCACCGAAGTTTACAGTGAGGAAGAAGAGGAGGAACAGAAGAAAAGGGTGGGGAGGAGAGAAGCCACCACCACCACCTCTGGTGGTCTACTAATCTCAGTGTTTGATATCCATCTGTAACTCCAAAAATTAAAGATGATGTGACTACCTGGCAGGCACTTCCTCCTTCCTTCTTGCTCACAGAGCCTCTGCTTTTTTTCAGATTTGGGGCTTCTAGGTACTTCAGGGGCCTGGGAGATGATTGCTGAATAGTTCAAATCAATGCATTTCAATGTGTGGCCCCAGGACCGGCAGGTTTTGTTAGAACTGCAAATTCTCAGGCCCTACCCCCGACCTACTGAATGAGAAACTCTGGGGATGGGGCCCAGCAATGCCTGTGTTAACAAACCCTCCAGTGACTCTGATGTGCACTCGAGCTTGAGACTATGAATTGTGTTCTTTTCTCTAGTGATTGACTTTGGCATCGTGTGAGGCAGCCCCAGCAAATGGGACAAAGAAGGAAATCCAGTGAGGGCCTTCGGGAAAGATTTTTGTTCTCCAAAGACCCTTGCCCCTTTTTTGCCCCCTGCAAGCAGCTGTGTGTGAAGGTGCCAAGGGCTTCTGCAGCCACCCATCACCCTGGGGGCGGCTACTCACCCTGAGGAAGGCAGAGTAGAAAGACAGAGAGCCTGGGCTCTTGAGCTTGTAATGTTGCAGCTGAATTAACCTACCCTGGAGTCACATGTGCTCTCAAGCTCTCACATGAAATACCACACCCCTAGGGCTGGGCACAGTGGATCATGCCTGTAATCCCAGCACTTTGGGAGGCTGAGGCAGGCGGATCACAAGGTCAGGAGATCAAAACCATCCTGGCTAACACGGTGAAACCCCGTCTCTACTAAAAATACAAAAAATTAGTTGGGTATGGTGGCATGCACCTGTAGTCCCAGCTACTCAGGAGGCTGAGGCAGAAGAATTGCTTGAACCCGGGAGGCAAAGGTTGCAGTGAGCTGAGATAACACCACTGCACTCCAGCCTGGGCGACAGAGTGAGACCCCATCTCAAAAAAAAAAAAGAAAAAAAAGAAAGAAAGAGAAAAAAAGAAATACCACACCCTTGATTGTTGAGCTACTCTGAACGGGTCTCTGTTACTTGCAGCCAAATGTATTCTAACTAGAAGGTTCAGGATGCACTTACCATGGGCCAAGCACTGCAGTGGCTGCTTCGTGGGCTTCATCATCATGGGCATCACAGCTGGTCTCGCCTCTTCATTGACCTAAAATCCTCACTATTAGCCACTCTTCTCTGAAAGGCTGACCTGACCTGAGAGCATTTTAAGGGGCTCTGGCCCACGCCAATTTCCCTGTCTTGCCCAGATGAATGGGCTTTGGAAAGCACACACAGATCTATCCTGAGAGTAGGCCAGTTCATGCATTCTTTCATTTATCATTAAATAGATCTCAGGGGAAGAGAAAAGAGAGTAGAGAATCTGCATGGGGTACCACCTGAGCAGTGTCAATGGAGATGGGCCACCTAACAGGGAGCCCTGGACACTCAAGGGTTTTAGACCAGGCAGTGACCATATAGTGGACCAGGGCAGGTTGCCAAGGCTGCATATCAAGCTGTCACTTTGTATACCAGGGAACTCCTTGGCTTCTTAAGCAGGGTCGCTGCCTCCTCTTCTGGCTTCCTCACTCCTTTCTCCTTAGCCCCTATTTCCTAAATAGGCAAAACGTAAGCACACTCATTTTTATTTTAAGGAAATTTCAATTTAGCCACTTCAAAATAATTTTTTCTGGCACCCACTGTGGTGCCTTGCACAGAGTGGGTACTTCACTCAATGTCTATCCGCAGTCAAAATGACAGTCAGAAGCAGTAACCAGCAAACATGGGCCATCTACACGCCCTTGACTGGGCTTCACAGAAAGGCAATGAAACGTGCACAGGACACTGTGAGAGATGAAGGACTTGACGCTCTGCTGCTTCATCACTCTCCTCATCCTTTAACCCCTCCACCTCAAGAGAGAGACATGTAAGAAGAAAGGAGCACATCCCACTATGAGAGGTAGAGAACAAGAGAAAAGAAATCAAGAAGGAGTGAGGGACAAGGGAAGTGAGTGACAGACGAGGAGTAGATAGATATGAGAGCCACTCGATTTTCATCCTACTCCACAGGCTTCCAGAAAATCACAGCTGAATGTCTTAAGAAAGAAAGAAAGAGAGAGAGAGAGAGAGCAAGCAAGCAAGCAAGCAAGCAAGCAAGCAAGCAAGCTTTTCCTCATAGCAGGGGTGAGAAGAAAGCACAGATTTGGAACGAGGAGGGGATCCTCAGGCTTAGAAACCTAAGATCAAATCCCAGTTCAGCCACTTATGAGTCATTTGACCTAGGCAAGTCACTTAACCCCACAGAGCCTCATTTGTGAAACAGAGATAAAACTATCTGTCTCTTGCAGCTGTGAAGATTAGATGAGAATGTCTGTAAAGTGCCTGGCATGTAATAGATGTTCAATAAACTTCAGTGCCACATTTCTCTTCTCTCCAATCCCCCTTCTCATCATTGCCTTATCTGAGGTCATGTCTGATATTCTCTCTGGCAGGTAATTCTTGAGCATGTCTCAGCAAATTGCTTGCAAATTTTTCCCTTTGAAGAGGAGGACAAAGAGGATTAAACTAAAGAAAATTCAGCTTCTGAGTGTTGCACCCGCTGTTTATGCTAACTCAGTTCAAACTACAAAGGCAAGCTTGGTGCCAGGGAAGGAGTCCCAGCTTCAAGCCCACCCACCAGGTCTGAAAACCCTACTTTATCTGATTGCATTATTGGCCAAGCCGCTCATCTCTCATTGAGAATCAGTGCTTTACTTAAGAAAAGCTGCAAATCAAACAACAGGGCTGTCCAGGGAACTGAGAATTTAGCTCCTTAAACATTTCCTCCTATAAATATAAATTGTTGCTTTCCTCTAAAGAAAGCCTCTCTCCCTGTGATCTATGAAGGATTGGAGAGGGGGTCAGGAAGATCGCCGTATCTTCTGGTGAACATTCTCGATCACCTTAATCCCTTCACTGACAGTCTTCTGATCTGAAAGAAATAGTTTATTGTGTTCCTCAGTTTACAAAGAATTAGGGGTAGGGGGTGTGGATCAACAGGAAGAACAGAACACAAAATTCATCAGGGAAGCAGAGGGGAGGGGGAAAGAGAGAATTACTTTGAATACAGTTGCATAATCCATAATTCAGCAAGCTTTTCATTTCTCTTATCTTCCAAAAAGACATGAAATTAAGTTCTAAGCAAAGCACATAATTTATGAGAAGTCTCTGTGCTGATGACTCCCAAATCCCCATGCCCAGCCCTGACTTCTTACATGAGTTCTAGTGCCATGTTTCCAGCTAGCAGGACACAGCTGCTTGGAGTTGGGCTATCATCTCGGCTCCCCAGGTGCAAATTGAACTCAACTCTTCCTCCCCAATGTTTTTTCTTCCCAAATTCTTTTCTATCAAATGACCCATTATTATTCTAATCTTGCTGGCAAAAAGTGCTAGAAAGCTTGAATTTCTCTTTTTCGGCCCCTTGTGCCAAGGCCTGTGAAGTTTTTCTGAAGCCATCCTCTTCTCCATCATCCTGCTGAATCTGCATCTTTCCAAATCTTCCCTCTCCTCCACCCCAGATTCCTGACCCCAGTCCCTACATGCTAATCCAGACCACACACCATTGCCAGTTTCATCTTCCTAAAATGCTATTTACATCAGGCCTTTGATGGCTGCCTGTTTCCTGCTGCAAGAAAGTCAAACACCCTCTGCTTGCTCTCCAAGGTCCTGGCCCCATCCTGCCCATCCAACTGTACTTACCGACATAAAATCTCTTCTCCAAACTGAGAGGGCCCAGTAGAGCATGAGGCTCATTTTAGGCACTACAGGAAGACAAACTGGACTGACCTTGTGCTCCATACTCTGTGGTCCCCACCTGGAATGCTATTCCTCTTTCATCCTGACTATTCCAAACCCTACTCCTCCAAAACCCATCAAGCTTCAGCTCCATCAGGAAGCCTGTACTCACCAATCCTACTCACTGTTCTTTGCCCGAAGACATTTAGCTCTTAAGCTCACACCATCTAGTATTATTTTAAAGTATGTAGTATAATGCTCACAGTGCTTTTGATTTTACAGTGCACTAACCTATGCATATAATCTTATCTGATCCCCTCAACCTGGTGGGGTTGGTATCATCCCTGCACTTAACTAGGACCCAGAGAGTTTAAATGAAGATCATGAAACTAACTGATGATGGTGTCAAGTCTTGAATCCCCAAATGCTGACTCAAAATCCTATATTTTTTGTTTACCTCATTAGACTTTAAGTCTTTAAAGTCAGGGACTACATCTTGTAATTATTGCCTGTTACCCTATAGAACCGTACAAAGTCCTGAACGCATGGAAAGTCTCAGGGACTATTTGTAGAATGAAGAATTGGAATTAAGGAAAAAGTCAGTGAACCATTAAGAATTGGGCAAGTGAATGTATAAACACAAGCTGTATTCACTGGGACATGGGCTATGAAAGATAGAAAGAACTTGCTCAGATAGTCCTTTTAATATACCACATTTATATCCCTCATTCATTCCTTTTTTCTTCCTTCACTGATTCAGCAAATATTTACTGAGCGCCTACTACGTCCCTCATCTGAGACAGATGAGTCAAACACTCCCTTGTCCCTCAGTCCCAACCCTAACATAAACCCTACCCAAATAAGGAAGAGAAAATAGTTTTTATGTATGTATGTAAGTAGGTAGATATTTATTTATCAGTTGGTCTATCAATCAATTGATTGATTGCCTCTGTTCACACAATTGGCTATAATGATTGGAACAGAAAACCATAACAAAGCAGCTCTGGTGAGTTTACTATATATCCAGAAAAGCATCAAAATAATTTGGGTTTTCCTTTGGGGTAGAAAGAAAAATAAATGTTCTTAATCTAGTCATGGTCTTTAAAGCATATTAGAGGTAAGCAGCTCTTATCATAATTTACCAATTACATAAGAATCAGAGAAGGTGATGATTTCTTATTACTGCTTTATGAAATTCTAACGGACCCTGCAACTGTTTATAGAAATAACACCTTCCCAGTCATGCTTCAGCATCAGCCCAGGAAATAGGTTAGAATCATAGGATTTTAATATGAAAAGGACAGAGATTAGAACTCACTTATTTGATATTACAGAAACAAAGACTCAGGAAGTTTAGGTGATTTGCCCAGATTAAAAAAGAATAACTTGGTATATTCTAAAATGAAAACCTAATCTCACAACTCCTGGTCGAGAACTCTCTTCCCTCTTTCCACTGCTTCAACTCACATTACAGTTTTTAAATTTTCCTAGTTAGTTATTGAAATAGGGTTTTTTTCTGCTGTGAAATTAAAAGATCTTACAATGAATATCCTGACTTTGGAAATATTATTTATGATTTAATTAAAATCCTTCAACATGAATAAATAAATAAACAAAAGATTCGCTGGTTCAATATGGAATCCTTAGGCAATGCATAATGGGACAGGATTGGTTTTCTGGTAACTTTCACTCTTAGAGCAAAACAGCTGCTCCAGTGCTCAATATCTAAAGAATTATATTGTGACCCTCATTTATTTAGTTATATTTTCCACAAGATAAACTCTAACTGTGAGAATAGTTAGATCTCAGCAAAAATGAGATAGAAAGGAAGCCACAAAAAATAATGAGGGGAAACCCCTTTATTAATAACAACATCAATAATAATAAAACAGAAGATAATGGATAATATCTTCAGTGCTCTAACCATGTCACAGATGCTACACTAAACTCTTCTTAAAATTTACCTCATTTACTCCTCAAAAGAACCCTATAAAGCAAGTACTATAATTTTACAGATAAGGATGCTAAGACCAGAAAAACTATTTTCATATTAGCTTAAGAATGTCTGGAGCTGGGTGTCAAACCTAGAACTAATTCCAGATTCTGCTTCCTTAACACAATGTAATATCCTCTCCTTTCAGAAGTACAGGGGTTAACGAATGTTCAGAGTTCTTTAAACAAAACAAAACAAGAAACCCACCTTTCTGAGCCTGTTCCTGATGATAATTGAGTGTGAGGTTGAGTAGAGAATTACACTCTGTCTGGGGGATTACACTTCTATCAGGATTTACAGAGCTGAAGCAAGATAATTCTCCCTCCTTCTGTTTTAACAGTAAATGTCTTCAGTAAAATGGGAATAAATGATACACATACACATGCACATATAAAATACTTTGCATCTGATAAAGGAGAGGACATGTGGGTTGTGGGTCCTTCTCCAGATGCCACCACACCACTCAGATATGAAAAATGCAAACACAATTTTGTGCTGCAAAGTAATTTCTTGATGTTATCAAACATTCTCATTACTTATCAAGGGTCATTTACCACTTCTACTCTATTCTGATTTTTCACATTTTCTGTTTTCTGAAATGCAAACACCACTGCTTGTGATGGATCCCTTAAAGTGCTTCTGATTCACATAGGTCAGCATGTTCATGTAAATTAGACTTAAGTCTAAACTATGTTTCTTGCCTAAATATTTAAGCACATAAATAATCTCTGGTTATCCAGGCTGTCATTTTAAGCTATTTGACATTTATTGTTCTGAAGAGAAGAAAGGTCAGATATATCAAATCTGCATTTGTGCTTCATGACATTTTTCTCCAATCAGATTCTTCCAAATTATGGTGTCAAGATTAATACTATGAAAGAAAGAAGGTAAGAGGGAAGGAAGAGAAGGAGGGAAAGGGAAAAGGAAAGGGAAAGGGAAGGGAAGGGGCAAGGAAAGAAGGAAGGAAAGAAGGAAGGGAGGAAGGAAGGAAGGAAGGGAGGGAGAGAGGGAGGGAAGGAGGGAGACAGAGAAGGAATCCCTTTTCCTACCTAGCCAGCCACAGTGAAGCATTCTATTTAGTAAATTTTGTGCTTTCCCCCTTGGCTGCATTTGTCAAGCAGATGTGTGGGTCCAAGGGGGCTGGAGCATGAAGGGAAAGGCAGGATGCGAGGAATGGAAGGGGATGCATGGCTTTGTGATCTGTTTAGCACAACCTTTGCTCATACTTCACAGAACAGATTGAGACCGCTGTCTGGCCCCACTCCTGGGCTCTCTGCCTTTCATCTCTGCATGGCCTTGGATACATTTGTCTTCTCATCTCAGAGAAGGAGGTTGTTTTCCTTCTCTATTGTACCCCTGCCTGCAGTTCTGCCCATGCCTACCGCTAAACTGCAACAACACAGGTTTCCCAGTTCAAGGGCCTCGCTATAGAGGGTCAGATCACAGGAGCAGAATGTTGTCCTCATCTGGGGCCATGCTTTAAGAGGAGAGGGCGTGTGGGGCAGGGGGGAAGAAGCAGGCTCAGTGAGCACTGTGAAACCTGTGGTGAATGAGGAAAAGTGACAAGGGGGCTAGAGACGTTTGTTTCCTTCCCAGCATGTATCATCATTTCTCATTATATATTTATTTGTTCATTTGCACATTTAATATTCTTCCCTCACCATTCTATAAATCCCATGCGGGCAAAGCCCATGTCTGTTTTGTTCATTGCTGTCTGTGCAGCATCTAGTACAGTGTCTAACATACTGAAGCTGCCCAATAATTATTTGTTGAATTAATGATTTTTTAAAGAAAAGGGATAGGAGAGAAAGAGGAGGAGAATGAAAAGAAGGAGGAGACAAAGAAAAATATATAGGATATGTGGGATAACTGACTTCAAATGTTTGAAGGACCCTCATGTTGGGGAGAAGTTAATACTTGTCAGCCAAACTACAGTCACAAGTAAAAGACATAAGACAGAGAGATCATAGATGTGGAGTTAAACAGGCTGAAATTCAAATACCAGATCCTTCACTTACTGGCTGTGCAACCTGGATCGTGTTATCTGACCTCTCTGAGCATCAGTTTCTTTATTTGCAAAAACGAAAAGAGTACTAAAATCATAAAACTACCACATTATAGTGAGGACTAAATAAAGCAGTCTATGTCAAACTGTTCAATGGTAGCTGTTATCATTAAATTACAGAGGAATAGAATTTGACCACTATTAAATATTTTCCCAACAGACTTGTCCAACAGGTAACAGGGAAGCCTTGGAAAATAGTGATCCCCACATCCCCAGAAATATACATATACATTTAAGGTTTTTTTTTTTTTTTTTTTTTTTTTTTTTTGAGACAGAATCTTGCTCTGTCGCCCATGCTGGAGTGCAGTGGCGCAATCTCAGCTCACTGCAAGCTCCGCCTCCCAGGTTCACGCCATTCTCCTGCCTCAGCCTCCCGAGTAGCAGAAATATTTTTTTAAATAAGATTGAATGAACTCTATTTTAAGAGGAAACTCCAGAAGCAGACAGGGCCCTAGATATAACGGCATCTAAGTCCTGTATAAGAGTCTGCACCTAGATTGAATGGTTTTGCTATACAATTATCCTCTCTCTTTCAGATACCTGAAATCTTTTCTCTTTAGCTTTTTCCCTCCTGATTTTCAACATTAAGAGGTTTGCTATCATAAAACATGTTTCCTCCATGCTGCTGAACCCTCTGACATCACTGATATTTCATTCTCTTTCTCTTCTTTCTTTCAAAGACTTCTTAAATGACTACTTAAACACGTTTTGCTTCTATTTCTTCAGCACTCTCTCTAAA
The DNA here is from genome assembly GCF_000001405.40 of Homo sapiens. Lineage (NCBI taxonomy): Eukaryota > Metazoa > Chordata > Mammalia > Primates > Hominidae > Homo > Homo sapiens. The sequence continues at coordinate 29,907,439 of NC_000002.12, forward strand.
CTTCCTTCTGCCTGTTCCTGCTCTGTACAAGACACTCCGTGAATTGCTCTTGGTCCAACACAATGGTCTCTCCACTCCATCTGCCTTGCTGAGCTTCTATAACACCACATGATCCACAGAGGCCTCTGTTCCTTCTTGTAAGAAAATTCTTTCTGGTGATGTCATTGACTCCATTCTACTGTCTAATTATGAACTTTCCTAAATCTAAGCTGTGACCTTCCTTCTTTCCTCTCTCTACGTCCTCTGGAAAACTCATCTCTTTTTTTCAAGGATTAAATTACCACGTGCATGTAAATAGCTCCCACATCGATATCTTCAGCCTTGACCTCTTCCCCATTCCTGCTTCAGGCCCATGCTTTCATGTGCATCCCAGATACCCTCATCTTTGGATGGATGCCACACTAGAATTATTGTCATGCCAACCACTTGCCCCTCAAACCAGATCCTCTTCCCAACTGTCTTCTTTATCAGTAAACCATAAGTCTTCAAGGTTCCAAAACCTTAGACTTTTGACTCCTTCTCATTTGTTCCTCTTATATCTGGGCATCTATTGGCCCAGCTCTGACTCTTTCATTGCTTATTTGGTGTAATAGCTTCACGGGGCTCCAACACTAGCCCTCTCTACATCCAGGCCTGAGACCCACACTAAAATACATTTCCTGAATAATCTGCAGTCAACACGCAGTCAAAATGCATCTCCCCTACTCAAGACCTAAATAGGTTCAGATTTCTCTAGCATCAAATCAAAATTCCAGACACAAAAAGCCAGGCTAACCTCTAGTTCAGAATATCTGACCTAGCACCTTAGAGCTCTCTGCTCTGGCTGGTTCTACTCTCCAGAGCACACACACACACACACACACACACACACATTGTCTATCTGCCTTTCTGTCTCTCTGTCTCTCCTTTCTCTTCTCTTTCCTCTCTCCCTTTCTCTAGCCAATTGTTCTTCATCTGGGCATTATTTTGGCTCTTGCCCCAACTCAGAAGATCCTTTGTCCTTCTCTTTTGAAGTAAAAAGCTGCACTCTCTCCAAGACCCTATTCTCAAATTACCTCCTTCTGGAAGTGTTTTTATTTTTTACTCACTTCTATCTCAGTCTCAAAAGGAAACCATCATTCTCAGCAGATATCCTTTGACCTGACTCCCTGCCAAAAGGCAATAAGCTTATTGTTTCTAAAATTCCAGAGCTATAGTTTCCTGTCTCAGAGAAACTTTACCTCTCCCATAATGCACTGAAAACTACTGCTCATCTGCCTTTAAGGGAATGCTTTTGAGATTTGGAGGTACAGCATGAAACTCTCCTTAATCACCCCAGCAGGAATTGACCTCTCCAACCCTCTATCCAACTACTATAACCAGCTGCACCATTTGTTTAGCATTCAAGTGCTGCCTTTTATTGGAGTTATTTATTAGCATACTTTGTCTGCCTTTTCTCCTCCAACTAGTTTGTGAACTCCTGGGAGGAAGAGACTGTACTTCATTCAACTTGGCAAGTGCTCAATTTAAAAGAAAAAAAAACTAAACCAATAAATAAGCATTTCCTCAGGCAAAAATTCAAACTTATAGATCTCCATTAAAAGGATTCCCTTGTCTAATTTCTCTTTGGTGCGCACCTCCCATGGAGATCTATATGGTATCTCAGGAGACAAGCTAGTATGACCTAGATCCCAAAGCTTATCATATAGGCTCCTGGCCATGATACAAGAACTAGCACTGCATGATCCTTCCTACCATGAATAACTGTAAAACTGACAAAATATTTGAAAGAAACTGTGGAATAATCAGCAACACAGGACTATAATCCTTGAAAGAGTGAGAATGTATGTGGTGGGCCCTAGCACTGTTCTGATTTTTTGCCTAGAGGCATTTACCAGACTCTGACACAGGAAAGAGAAGGCCAAAAAGAGCATAGTGGCCTCAGTGACTTGAGGTCATAGAGATTGGTGTCTAGAAAGGCTGAAGCAGCTCGAATTTCCAGGGAGCAAACCAGAGAAGGCACAACTAGACACACATACACACACAGAGAGAGACAGACAGACAGAGAGAGAGAGAGAGAGAGAGAGAGAGAGAGAGAGAGAATGCTCCACAAAACTGCCTAGAAGTCCTCTTGAGTCTTTGGCTAAATATTAAGTTGTGCATTCATACAGTGAGATTCCACAAGACTAAGCAAAGAGCAGCTACCAAGTAAAGAATAGCTATCAGGGAACTGTAAGCCAAACAATTTCTACAGCTCATACATGGAATTGGGAAATGTTTTTTAAGTGTGTAAGAACCAGAGAGGAGAGACCTCATTGAATACCTTTGAATACCCGAGGCATGTGATGGAGACTCCAGAAAGGCCAAACCTTAAGAGGAGGCTTAAACTAACCATAGAATAAAGACTTCTCTAAACTCCCTCAAACAAAGCTTGACAATAATCCTTGAAAGTATAAAATTGATGGACAAGTCAATTAACTGTCAAAGAAAATTCAAAAGTCTTTCAATGAAGACAAAAATGTCCACACATTCAGCAATGGAATATTCATAATGCACCACACCAAAAAAAAAAAAAAAAACAACTGCAAGGTATGCAAAGAAGCAGGAAAATGTGACCTATTTCCAAGAGAAAAACTGATCAATATAAGTAGACATAGAAATGATAGAAATACTATAATTAGTGGAAAGGAACTTTAAAATAGCTGTTATACGTGTTCAAGGACTTAGAGAAAGACATAAACATAATGAAGATAGAAATAAAAATGGAAGCAGAAATTCTAGAGCTGAAAATCAATACAGTATCTAAAGTGAAAACTTATTACATGGGCTGGTTTATTAGCACATTAGACACTATAGAAGAAAAGAGGGTGAACTTCAAAATATGCAATAAAAACTATGCAGACTGAAATACAGAGAGAAAAGGGGCTGAGAAAAAAAATGAACAGACCCTTAATAAAGTACGGGAACCATAAAAGTATAGCACAATTGTAATTGAATTCTTAGAAAGGAGGAGCAGAAAACAATTTTTTTAAAAATTTCCAAATGTGATGAAAAATATAAAGAGAACCAAGAGTCTATCAACAAATTGCTAGGAGGAAAAACACAAAGCAAATTACATAAGGGCACATCATTAATCAAATTTCTAAAATCCTATGATAAAAAGAAAATCCTAAGGAAGGCAGAAGGTGGGAAAGACATAACAGGAAACAGGTAAAGAGCATCTCTGACTCAGGAAATTCTCTGACTCACTGGAAATAATGCAAACCATGTAACAATGGAGCAACAGCATTAAAGTGCTATCCACCTGAAAGTATACCCAGTGAAAATCTTTTTCTGAAATGAAAGCAAAATAAAGTCACTTTCAGCAAACAAAAGCTGAGATAATTTAAATACAGAATAGCACAACATTAAATATTAAAGGCTAAAGGAAAAAATTACAGATGGAAACTCTGATTCAACATAGAAATGAGAAACTCCAAGTGCAGCCAAGATGAAATAAGCCCACAAAGTCCTGTTCATCCTGTTCTTTACAACCGAAATACTCTGGACGAAACAACAACAACAACAACAACAAGAAAAACAAAAAATGACTACTGGGGACTCTGAAAAGTAAAATCAGGAACATTGAGGAAGAGAGTCAAAACCTGAAAAAAGCAATTCATATGAAGGCAAGTCTTCTGTTTTTACCTCTTTTGTCTGTGAACTGAATGCAGGCACCCAGAAAATCTGTGGTGGTAGCACCATGGACAGCTAAGGGGCCCAAAGCAATCTTTTCTTTCTCACCCAAAGGACAGGGAAAGGAACTTTATGATTCAGTGAGTGCAGAGGAAAATCTACATTTACTTGTTTTTTCCTTCTTATCTCATGATGGTGACCCTTCAGTAGAGCCAGCATAGCTGCTGATAGAAACCCTCAAATAGAAACCCTGGTAGAAACCACAACTTTCAGGATAAAGGACTGGGAAAGGGGTCCCTTCAGTCCAAAGGGTATGGAGGGAATCCCCATTTTGTTTCTCTTTATCATCTCTCTACTTTCATCTGCTTTATCATCTCTCTGCTGTCATCTCTCAAGGGCAACCCTAAATGCAGGATCTGTGCAGCAATAATACAGGTAGGTAAAACTCTAAGTTTAAGGAGAATCCTAAAGAGAGCTGGAGAAGGAAATATGCTAATTCGCTGACGGAACTGGCCAAGGGCCTCAGCTCACCTGAGTGGCAGAGGTGTGGACAGACTCAAAGCAGAATAACAAAGGCTTTGAGAACAAAGCAAAGGTTCAAACCACACCCAACTCAGACCAAACAATGTAATGTACAAAATTTGCAGGATACAATCTCAAATTACTCAACATAAAAGAAAAAAAATGACTAATTCTTAAGAGGAAAGATATCATATGCCAATAATAAGATCATCCAGATGTTGGAATTATCAAAGACGTGAAAGAAGCTGTTATGACCATGTCCCATAAGGTGAAAGTAAACACTCTGGAAAATGAATGGAAAGGTAGTTCTCATCAAGAAACAGAAGTCATTGTCAAATATGAAACATTTAAACTGGAAACTAAAATATCTAAAGTAAATAATTATATCAGAATGGAGATAACAGAGGAAAGAGTCAATCAACTTGAGGATAGGTCAATAGAAATTGTTCAATCTACAGAACAAAGAGAAAAATTTCAAAAAAAGAAATTAGCAGCGTCTCAAGAGCATGGGAGATCTAACAGGTGTGTAATCAGAGTCTCAGGAGAGGAATATATTGGTGCAGGAAAAAAAGGAGAAAATAATAATTGAAAAATCCCATTTGATGAAAGACATAAACTTATAGACTCAAGAGTCTCAAAAAACTACAAACAGGATAAAGTCAAATAAAACCATGCAGAGATACATCATAATCAAATTCTGAAAACCAAAAGCCAAGAAAAAAATATTGAAAGCAATTACAAAAAGGAACAACAATGTAATGGCAGATTGCTCATCACAAACTATGAAGGACACAGGAACAAAATAGTTAAAGTGTGGAAAGAAAGGAACTGTCAATGCATAATTCTGAACCTAGTAAAAATATCCTTCAGGAACTAAGAGAATTTATCGTCAATAGTCTTATTCTAATGGAAATGCAAAAAAAGACCTCTTTAGGCTGAAGGGAAATAATAAAATAGGAAATATTGAAACTTGAGGAAAAGGGAAGAGCAAAAGAAATGGTATATATCTGGATAGCTATAAAGGACTATTTTTCTATTTAAAAGTTATTTAAAACACGCATGACTGGCATATATATATATTTTATTTATAATACATATATAAATATACAGGCTTAGCAAGTTTAAGAGAGTTGTAGAAGATTGCAAAGCTAACAAAAGATAAAGAACATCATAGAATTCATGTCTTCGAGCTCCTAATCTAGTGTTCTCCTCACCACAGAACACTTACTTTACTTATCTGGGCTTAAAAGAGTCCTTTCCATGCTCACCCTCATGAACTCACATTCCAATGAAAACTAAATAAAAGATAAGTAGGGGTCAAAGAAAAATATAACCAATGGTTCAATCTATCCTCATTTCCTTTGGCTAGTTTCCTGATTTCTTTAAGCCTGCCTAGATTTCCCTTGTCCTCTAACTTCATACCTTTTTCATACCTTCCTTTAGCTTTATTCTTACTCTAAGGATTTCTGACTGCCTACCACTGCATGCACCTGTTGTTAGTCAGAAAGGTAAGGTGCAAGAAAAAAAAAAGACTCTTAAATAACCAAGGGATTGGGTGTATCTTCCCCAAGGGAGATCTTCTCTGCCCACTTTCTGGAATATGTACACCACAACACAAAGCGAATCTGATAGAATTTCCCTGGGAAAGGACCCAAGCTCAGAACAGCCAGCTGAAAAATTCATCACAAAATTTACTGAAGAAAAATAAGCTATTCTGAAAAATACAATTAATCAAAAAGCATACTGAAGAATGCCTCCAACCTCCTCCACTACCTCACCACCAGGCCAACACTCCCTGCTTACATCTTGACCTGTGTGAAAGAGCCCTGGTCATCACAAGGTTAAGAAACATTGGCCACACCCTAGACCACAGAGCAACACAATGGCTGTAAAGAAGAAGGACTCCTTGATAGCTTTATTCTCAGCTCTCTCCACATGATCCTAGACCTACAACCATCCTCACCCACACGCCTTATTTTTTATCTACTCCCAAGTAGAAATGATGTTCATGTGCATCTTTTGGAGGCAATGGCTCAGCTATGGTTCATAGAAACCACCATGTACAAAATGTTCTGTGGTTCTTAGCCTCTTTTTTTAGATTGAGGGATCTTCCTGAGGCAGCCTCCCACTCAAGTCCCTGGGTTATACGTCTCCAGGGAGTCTCAAAGTTTAACTGCTCTTAATGTGCTCAGGTCCATTAACCAGTTGGTAATTTACATTTCTCTCCATATTCTCCACTTGGCAATGAAGGGTGATGCTGAAAATACAGAAAGAACACATCTTCAGCTAATTAAAATAAAAGAGTTACCAGAGGCCAGTAGCCCAGTGCCTCTAGACCTGGACAGAGCACTCTCAGTTAAGAAACGTCTGCCATCTGAAAATGATTCCGCTGTAACATCTCTATCTTGTTCTTCCTCCATCTTAACTTTCATATTTTCATAAAGTTAAGCCTTGGTTTCCTTCTGTAGGAAAAAAGAACTGGATTGCGAATATGCTGGTGGACTCTTTGAACTGAATCCAAAGTCAAAAGGCTTACGAGAGGACATTAATTCATGGGGAGGAAGTAAATACCACACTTCAATCCTCCTTTCCATGCATATTTCTGAGAAAGTCGCCTTCCATGGTGAAATGGTAGAAACTACTACACTTATAACTCTCTTCATTTCCCATACATCCCACCTTTCATCTCTTAGGGGTAAGAAGCTAGTTGAATGGAGAACAACAGCATCACAACTGCTGCTGCCAAGATTGCCACACATGGCCACACATAGAGATTACAACTCCAGATGGCACCATTCAGACAGACTAAAATGTATATGGAACCCCTAGAGTTGCAGAGTGCACAGCCTGCATGACCAGATGCTGGAGTGCAGCTGTTGCTATTATATAAAAAAACAATAGTGGTTCATATTGATGAAGCACTTTATTTTGCATCAGGCATTGGGTTAAGGATTTGCACACATCATCTAATTTAATCCTCATGACAACACCTTGAACTATTACTATCCCCATTTAGGAACATTTAAGAACTATTATATCCCTATTTTTCTAATGATAAAGCTGGGCCTCAATGATTTCAAGGAATTTTTCCAAGCCCTGGCTATTGCCCACCAAATATTTGTTGCATGGTCTTCTAGCAAGGATACTGGAAATTTTTTCACCTATTGACATGTCTTGCTCTTTGTAATCTGCACTTGGAGATGATTCCCTTAGTGGAAAGAACTCTGACTTGAAGGAAAGGGGAACTGTGGTTCTAGTCAGTATGAAAGTTTCCAGGTGTATACCATTTTGTGCTATATGACCTGGAAAAATATGGTCTGGATTCCAGTTACTTCATTTACAAAATAAAGCAAACATTTGTCCTGCCTACCATAGGATTAATAAGTAATAATAAATGTGAACATGCTTTATAAATTGTAAAGTTCCAAATAACCATAACAGGACACTAATAATGATTATAAAGAAAGGCAAAATTTCCTTTACAGGTCAGACTGGAAAAATTTCCATGTTGTGAGGTTGCCAGGCAGTGATCCTGAGTGGCAGGGCACTGAGACTTCTGCTGATCAACTCTCATTCTTTTCTTCTCCCACCTTCAGGCCAGTTCCTCCTGATTTTCAGCAGACCAACTTCCTTATAGATATTCCTTTCTCACTCTGTTGCCCAGGCTGAAGTGAGGTGGCACAATCTCAGCTCACTGAAACCTCCAACTCCCAGGTTCAAGCAACTCTCCTGAGTAGCTGGAACTAAGGCGCATGCCACAATGCCTGGCTAATTTTTTTATTTTTAGTAGAGACAGGGTTTCACCATGTTGGCCAGGCTGATCTCGAACTCCTGACCTCAAGTGATCTGCCCTCCTCGGCCTCCCAAAATGCTGGGATTACAGGCATGAGCCACTGCGGCCAGCCTAGATACCCATTTTTATTAATAATCACACTCTCCTCCCATGCCTTACACAAAAACCCCTCATGGACCTTCTTTCTCTTTTAAAAATTTTTGAAATGTTAAATTGGATGTGGATGAACTTCATCTTTCAAATGGCAATATAGATTCTCAACATTTAAAGGGATTTTTAAGTAGCCAGTAGGAGTCCACCAAATCTAGAACTGATGGCATCTTCTCAAGACACAGGTCACCTTTTGCCCTGCTCAGTGATGCTTTGTCATATACCCTCACCCATAGATGTATCTTAGATACACAATTCTCTGGTGATTGTGCCTCCCAAACCCCTGGATATACAGATCGCACCCCAGAGAAATAATCTATGTTTAATTGGAGGGCAGGGAAGAATAAATTCAGTAATTTCAAAATATTTGTCATTAACAATTTCTTAAGTGCTTCTCACCAACTTCAAAGATGTATATGCAATTCTTTTCTTTTCCTCTAAAAACACCAATGCCCAAAGGCTCCAGGGTTTGGATCATAAAAAGGTTCTGATTCCTTCTGCCATTCTGCATCCCAGCTCTCTGTCCTGTTGTAGCTTCTCAATATGTGAAAATATAGAACTGATTAATTAGGAATGCTGGGACTTGTCTGACCCACATCTCACCTGACTCCCCACTCCATTGGAATTCCATTCCATAGTCAGAGGAATATCAATGTCAGAAAACAAGGTTTCCCTGATATCCAACCCGAAGTTTGCTTCTACAAGTATGATCCAATTACTTCCATGGGCCACGCTAAATAACTCCTCTCCTTCACTGCCACTCTCTCTCTTCAGAGATTTGTAGATTGTTACCATGGCTTTCCCTTCATCGCCATTTAGCCCAGCCATATATATTTAATTCTTTTCATCTTTCATTGTAAATCAGTCCCTTCAACTGTTAAATCAGCTCTCTGCTCTTCTCTGGACTAGTTCCAATTCTCCCAATTCACCTCCAATAACTGATATCCCTTCTGGGAGCTCCAATTTCCTCTCCATCCTCCTTTGCTCTCTCTGCCCACTCCAGAAATGAAATGGGAAGGGACTGACAGATATGGGAGTTCAAAGGTCAGATATATTGCATTGCATACATCTCTAAATTGCTCAGGCCTCTCCATAGTACATGTAAAATCCAAAGTCATGTATCCACTTTCCTGGGTGGGGAGGGAGTGCTTACAGGGAAATAGGCCTCCTATCCCATGAGTCATCATCCCCTAGCCCTCTGCCTGGGTGACAGCAGAAACAGATCTCAAAACACCTGTAAGCCAGGATACAAACTGGAGCTGTGGGCAACATGCCAGCCTTGCAGACAGACATCTTTTCTATGATTTGGGCTGTCCTGGGAGAGGCCAGAACCATTAATACAGTCCCAGAAACTGCCTCTTCACCTCTTCTCCATGAATGGGTGAATTTGGGATCTGCCTCAGACTTGAAATGCCGATCCTATTTCTGAATTCACAGTAACCCACAAGGAAAAACCATTAGCATTTCATGCATTATAAGGCCTCTCAGACATCTTTCTGTCCTCTCAGACAGCCCAAATCACAAGCAATGCAACGGTTTTGCTTTCTCCTAACTGGTGCTTTTTCATTTTTACTATTTTAGTCATGGTCCTGCTCAGGTTTAGGAAGCTATCTTTGGTCTGAGCCAAATGGGCTGCTCCAGGCCCCTCACCACAAAACATGGAAGAACAATCAGCTCTTCCCTCCCCCACAAATAGCCCCATCAGCATCATTGTGTACCTCCAGACAAGACACTTGGGCAGACACAGGAAGAAAATAAGCTGAGCTGTGCCTACTTTCCTTCTGTATAATTGAAGAGCCCACATCATAGAAGAGTTAAATGCCTTTTCTATAAATCAGAGCCTATATAAAAATAATAAACCCATTTCTCCAAACATGATAAATAGCAAAATCAATCCCAGTGTCAGAACCTAACCTTGAATTTTCATAGGGAAAATGAACGGAACCATAATGATACATGTTGTCTGAAACACAGAACATGGTATAGCAAGGTGTATCTACTCCATGGGGATGTCTGCAATGGAGACTGTATCTGAATGAGGCTGGGGAGGCAATGATAATGTGAGAGAGGCTAGTCCTGCATGGCCAGCTGCCTAACTGCAGACAGCATATGTCCTCAGAGAAAGGAGAGACCAGGCTGTTCCAAGTATGATCACCACAAGGCCCGAAGTGCTTTTCAATAGGCTGGCTGTCTCTCTGGAGGTCATGGGGAGCTCATCCAGTTACACTTAGTGTCTTATTTGATCCTATCAATAATCATTTGATTCCAATCCTGCTGAAAAATGCTTGGCCAAATTTTCTTGCCTTTTAATGGCAGAATCCTGGCTCCTACTGAAATCAGCATTGCTAGATGTGTCAAATGATGCATAAGGGCTTGGTCCAGCTGCCAAATGTACTGGGCCACTGAGGGAGGGCTTGGGATGCCCACAATGCTTCCCTACAGCCAATAGCAGAGAAGCCCTTGGAGCACAGCCTTTCTACATAAACCTCCCCACTCAGCAGCTCCAACACCTTATTTAAGACTTGAGTGGAGTATATTCTTTAAATGAATTAAGCATGTGACTCTTCAGAGACACCCACTGATAGCTTCATGCAACCTACCTGTTTACAGTTGGCAGGTTCGGGGCTGTAGAAATGAGCCCTTTTGCCTGTCACCAACATCTGACAACAGCTGATACAGACTGCTGGATTCTATGGTCATTTGATAAAAGGTGATGGGGAAGCTCCACAGATGCTCAGAGGCATGAAACTAGAAGATAATCTGCATTTCCAGAGAAGTCATTTTTATATCCATTACTAAAACACTGGGCACTAAAACAGAATGTTGCATGTATAAACCACACAAACCACAATGACATTAAAGCCCAGCTGTTCTTTACAAAAACATCTTGGGTGGAACAACAGTATCAGTCTTCCATCTCAGTTCACTGAAGGCACTATCAAACTCATCAGTGCCTCTTAGGATGGTCTATATAAATTCCAGCACTAAATGAAAAGGGCTCACTTTAGGTGCCAGTGTCACTAACACTAATGTTGAAATGTGCATCCGCACTCTGTTTTTCTTGGGGGTCACATACTAGTATGTATTCTGTGCAATGACTAGGGAACCTCAGCTTCTGAATATCCCTCCTGCATGAGAGTACTCGTGTGTGTGTGTATGTGTGTGCACAAGCATGCAAGATACTTGTAGCTCTACAATGGGCCCTTTTCAATGGTTTCCATCCAATTAATATTAGACATTAGTAGCCAGTGGAGCATAAGAACTTCATTTATTTCTGATGATGAGAATGATAGAAAAGAAGCTGGGTTTGCTTGATGGAATTTGTGTAGGCTTTTTAAAAGCCTGATTTCTTTTCTGTGCCTTTCTTATTCATTTACATTGTATATTTTATTCACAAGTCTTCCCCAGTTGTCTTACAAGAAGAACATCGATTCAAAACCACCTGGTTTTCCAGTCAAAGGATACTCTGGAAAGAGTTAGAAGTAAGTGCCTGCACACACACACACCCCCAACTCAGTGAATATGGCAAGAAATGAGGGAGTAAATGAAACAGAAAAATCTCATTTTAGGAGTCTCCAGCAGGGAGATCTGCAGTGAAACAAGCTGCCAGAGACTATCATCAAGAGCTGCTGCTGCAGACGTTCAAGCTAAGAATCAGAGGGGAAAGGAGGAGTGGGGAAAGGTAAGAAAAGCAGGAAAACCAACGATGGTTTCTCCCTGGCTTCATAGTGACTCCCCAAAGGAAGACAATCTTGACAACTTTCCTTCCTTCCTCCACACCTCCCTCCTGTCCTCTGTTCCTTAGTTTCTCTGGGGCTTTCCCAACAACATGTAAGAGAAAGGATGAGTCGAGAGTGCATAGCAGACTGGGTGGGGGTGGGAGGGGGAGAATAAATAAATAAAGAAGAGACAATCCCTGGCAATACCTGCCCAAGCCAACGTTTGGAATGGGGACAGTTGGGTGAGATTCAATAATATGAAGAGAAATTCTATATTCCCTGAGAAGGTACCATATTTCCCAAATCTGTGCTGGCCAGGAACAAGAGGGAGAGAAGGGCAATAGTTTTGACATCTACTACTAAGCTTGGAACCTGGAAGTAATCGGGGCATTTCAACTGTCCCGGGGCCCAGGAAGAGGGGCGCCCAATTTTGTCTCGGACAGCGTATAAGTCCAGAGAAGAAGGCGCTCTGCCAAGAGTATGAAACTTTTCCCCCAACTTGGTTGCTAAAGAGGAAGGAAGACCCCTGAACTGCGTTCAGGGAGAAAACAAGAAACTACGGTCTGATTCGGGAAGGAGGTTTGCGGGAGGAAGGAGGGCGATGAAGCAGAGCTGAGGTTTTAGAAAGTGGGGTGGAAGTGAAGATTATTTAATGGTTGCATATCAATGTGACTAAAAACACTAAATCCCGGCACACTCAGGCGGGAGCTGCTCACCAGTCCCGAAGATCTGGAAGAGAAGGCGGGGCTGGGAGGCGCGAATTGCCGCGGACAGCCTTCCCTCTCTGCCCACTTCCGACGCCTTCTTCTCGGGCATCAGGCGGATCCTCAGTCGCCCTTCGCCTTGGCGAATCCACCAACTGAACAGCTCGCTGAGATTGAACTGGAGCAGCCCCACAGCCGCCTCCCCGGGGGGCCCGACGCAACCCTCCAAGATCGCCTCCTCGCCCAGCTCCAGCACCAACTGCTTGGCACGCCGGAGCTTGCGCACGGAGCCGCCCTTCAGCACCCTGGACAGCGTCCGGGCCTCTGCCGGGGCTGGTGAACCGGCGGTCCAGGAGACCCCCGGCGCCGGCCCCAGCAACCTGAGCAGCGGGGCGCAGTCCAGAGCTAGCGAGCCGCGGGCCTCGGGCCTGCCAGCCTTCAGCTCCGAGGAGGATGGTGGCAGCAGTAGGTCCCGGGCGTAGACACGGAAGAGCGAGGGCACCACGAAGTCAACTGCCAGACTCTTCCTCTGCAGGCGCGAGTAGCTGAGTGGCTCCCGGGGCTGCAGCGGCGGCCCCGCAGCTGGGGAGCCCGCGCGCTGGCCGGTCCCCATCCCGGAGCCCACAGCTGCCGTGGAAAGCAGCAGCGGCAGGAGCCACAGGAGCCCGATGGCTCCCATCCCGCCGGAGGAGGCCGTTTACACTGCTCTCCGGGCCCAGCCTCACCCTTCGCTCTCCCCGAGATGGGAAGAGGCTCTGAACAGTCCTTGGTACCCAGCGGCTCCTTCCACCTGATCTCCAGAGGACTGTGCGTGCGCGCAAGTCTCTTGCTTTCCCCCAACTGCACGGAGGCGAGCAGGAGTCTAAATGAAACAGACCTGGAAGCTCAGGGGCGAGTCCAGAGACACTCAAGCACACTGGGCTCACTGGCTGGGACCTTGAGCCTCCCGCTCTCCGCGCCGAGTGCCGCGCCCCCGTCTGTAGCTCGCTGCGCTCGGTACAGAGGAACTACTATGGTTGAAGGGAGGTGGCAGTTGGGTACCGTCCTCTCCTGCCCCCCGCAGTCGGAGCTGGGGTCTGTCCCCTCTCGGGGCAGCCTCCAATCTCTGCAACTTTTAAGGCTGAGAACGGCGGCTCCCAGCTGCTGCACGCTGTCCTGGCCGCCTTTTGCGTTCCTTTTGGCTCCTCCAAGCTCTTCTGCCCGGTCTGGGCGGGAACCGAGGGCGGAGGCTGCCGTCTTGCGCACCCTCAAGCTATCTCTCCGCTGCGGGAAGGCTTCGGACTGTCTGCCTGCTGAACTTCTGGGCGTGAATCCCAGCCCCCGCGCTGCGCAAGTTTGCAGCGTCCTTGCTCTCACCGGCGCCTCGGCTCCTCAGAGTTCGCAGGCACTGGAGCGGCCCCGGCGGCAGCAGCTGAGGGCGTTCAGGGCAGGGGCGCCCGAAATCTTGCCGCCCCCTCCTCACCCATCATCAGCGCCCGCGGCTTTGGGTGGCCGACCAGAGGGCGGCCGGAAAGCACCTCGGTGCCCCGCGACCCTCCGAACAGAGGCGGCGGGAGGTACCAGCTGCTACCACCGCTGCCGCCCCCAGAGCCGCTGGATCGCATCTGCCTGGGCGCCCGCCACTTGCAGCTGGCTGAGCCGCGCGAGCGCGCGCAGGGAGGGGGCGGGGCCCGGAGGGGGCGGGGCTCACAAGCCAACTCCGCGCTGCTGCCCGACCCACGCAGTCCGGCCTCGCCCCGCCCCACCCGCACCCTCCAACCAATGGCGTGGCTCGATCGGCTCCTATGCAAATCTGCAGAGGCCTCGGCATTCATTGAGAAAAGGAGTGAGCCCGCCCCACCCTCCCTCTGTTCCCTCTCCAGTCTCTTGTTCTTCCCCTCCTCTAGATTCCCTGCCCTATTTCTCTGCAGTGTGAAAGGGAGCAAATGTGAGAACTGGAAGAGGCCTTTGCAATCAAGCACTCTCCCTAATTATACATTTAAGAGATTAAACGGGTCCGACTTCGGAAAAACAGGTTCCAGAATAAAACTGGAGGAGAGGGGAAGGGAGGGGGGAGTGGGAAGGGAGGAGGAAGTGGGGAGAGGGTGGCAGCGCGACACTGGCAAATCTGAGAACAGCTTGTATTAAGGCCCTGAGACAGAATATTTTCTGACCCATCTATTATTTGAATGCATTCCTGGGAGCTTAGGAGTCCTGCCGTCCACACAGGAGAATTTGGGAATAGGGGGGCAGAGAGGGATGGATGGTCTTGGTCTGGCAGAGTTGTTCTGCAGCTACAACAAATACCTTTCAGACCCCTGTCAGTCGCTCTGTTTTCTCAGAATGGTGTCTGAACATGTGTAACCTCCCCTAGTCTCTGTAAGGCAAACATTTTAATTCCAGATTTACAGATGCAGAAACTGAGTTGCAGAGCATTTAATTGTTTGCCCACAATCTTGGGAATGAGGGTTCAGAACCTTAGGCCTTTTTTACTCACCTGTAATGGCTGTACCTCTCCTCTCCCTTTCCTTTCGTCTCTCCTGAGCTGCCAACACAGAACTCATAATAGCTGTTTTTATAACAAGTGGTTCACTAGATCCTCAGACAAAACTACCATCTTTGGGTCACACAAATCCCCTTGATTCCTTCTTAAAGGCTGGTTGTCAGGCCTTGGGCTGACTGTTGAAGCTAAGAATAAGGCAAGATCCTCTCTGGAGCTCACGGCCTGTCGGGTAGCACAGGAGTTTTCTCACAGGATCAGAGCACAGTGTCACATTGAACCTCCCTCACTGAGCTCCTGGGGGCCGCAGTAACTTGCCTACCACCCCACAGGAGATAGTGGCCAGGTGGAACCTCTGTTCTCCTAGGAGCTGGGCCTTTCCAGCTTTGTGGCAATGCCTTGGCAAGTGGAAGACCCAGTAACAAAGGAATATTGATTCTCGGAATGGCTTTCTTCCTGCTCTATGTTTGGCAACTCACTTAATTTGACAGGCATCTGCCCTCTCTCTGGAAGTCACACTGGATACACTGACTTTACAAGTTTCAGGGCAAAGAATTATCTCACCCGAGAAGAAAATATGCTCCTATCTTGGTGGAGGAAGGGTGGAAAAGAAAGAAAAGAGGGAGGAAAATGCTATGGTAGTTAATACTTTCCTGGTACAATATATGTTTGATTTTCATCAGATTTTTCTGACATACCTACTGGAAGAGGAATTTTTATTTGAAATATGAAAAAAGACTAAAACTCCAGCCTTTCCCTATTTCTCTATACAATTCTTGACCAAAGGCATTACTGACTCCAGTTAATTTGTCAGTTAACTGTGAATCGTCTGCTGCACCCAATGGCCACTAGGGGGCTGCAGAGACTTGAAACTTTAAATGAGCTGCCAGGGTTTAACGTTCTCTAATAATACCCCTGTCCATTGCTTTTGCACCTCATAGACACAAGAGTCTCAATTAATTCTCATGATTTATACATTGTCTCAAACTTTTCCCAAGGAAAAATAAGTGCCTTTCCCTGTAGATTAAATGACACTAAATCTCAAAAAATTTCTTCTTTTTTAGATAATTTTTTTTTAAAGGAGGCAGGAATTAATACTGATAGTCTACCAGGCACGAATGTATGCATCTGTAGACATGTGGGTGTCTAACACATCACACAGTTTTTTTGGGAAAGGGTATATGTTATTATTTCTATTACAGAGATAAAACAGCTAAGGCTCAGAAAGGCAAAATAATTTGCCCAAGGTAAAACAGCAAGCAAATAACAGAGTTGGAATTCAAACCGCTGACTCTTTTCCTCCAACATTTACACAACCCACTGAGAAAAGTTAGGACCTTAACTCATGCCCAAATTTATAATTTTAACACCCCATCCTACATAATTTCCATCAAAAGGATGGGAGACGGGAAAATGAATTTAAGAGCACATAGGGGAAATAGACAGAAAGATGAAAAGTGTGAGAATGATTGCTAACACATCTTGTGCACTTATTATGATCTATTTCAAAAAGACTTTCATTCACTATCTCATTTCATATTCCCAGTAACACTCTGAGGAAAAGTAATAGTATCTCTTTTCTACAGATCACAAATAGAAGCTCAGGGAGGTTAACTCCCCGACAAAGCTACACAGGTAACTAGAGCTGAACCTGGATACCTGACTAAGAAGTTCATGCTCTTAAATTCTGGGTGATCTCCCGCATGTTCTCACTCATAGGTGGGAATTGAACAATGAGAACACATGGACACAGGAAGGGGAACATCACACTCCGGGGACTGTTGTGGGGTGGGGGGAGGGGGGAGGGATAGCATTAGGAGATATACCTAATGTAAATGACGAGTTAATGGGTGCAGCACACCAACATGGCACATGTATACACATGTAACAAACCTGCACATTGTGCACATGTACCCTAAAACTTAAAGTATAATAATAATAAAATAAAATAAAATTTCTGGGTGATCTCACAATAGAGAAAATGGGATGAGGTAAAATGGATTGAGATGAGCCAAGATCAACAGAGGAAGAAGCTGAAAGGCCAAATCAGAGAGATGGGGAGTGGAAGTGGCAGACATAGATTCTGACATAGATACTGGAATCCCCAAGGAGACAATTAGGTGGGCTGCTCTGTGTCACCTTGCAGATGACTTGGGCCATTGGGCTGGGGGAGGAGGAATGTGAGTTGACCATGTACCAAGAGAGGAAGTGGCCAAAGAGGACACTGAGACCACCAACAACCTCCTCAGGAAATTCCCAATTTCTGGAAAGGGCAAAGTGAACAACTCAGTCAAGGAGGTACATAAATTCTCTATAAGAGAAGTAATAATAAAAATGACATGAGAAATTCAGCAATGTGACTTAAGGTAAAACATATCTCACAACTGCAAAATCTGATTGGGACATATAGGATCAAGTTAGGCATTTTGTTGGTCAACAGATACTCCTCGTGTACCTAATGTATACAGGATGTTGTTCTATGTTCCAGGAATTTTTTGCTCTGGACAAAATAAAAGGTCCTTCACCTTAAGAAGCTTACACTCTAATGATGAGAAACAGATAATAAATGTGCAAGCACATAAAGTAATTTAAGATAATAATAGTTGCTATAAAAAACAAAATAGGGCCATGCGGTAGATGACTTGGGACAGCAGGTGCGGGTGCTGTCCTAGCTCTACCTTCATAGTTGAAGAAGTCCTCTTTAAGGAGGTTACAGTTAAGTCCTGATTGGTGGGAAAGAGGCAGTCATGAAAAGCTTTCGAGAAAGAACGTTCTAAGCAAAGGAATATCACAGGCAATGGTCCTGAGATGAGAATAGCTTTGCATGTCCAGTAGACAGTAAGAAATCAATCTGGCTGGAACATAGTGAACAGAAGACAGAAAGGTGGAGGGGCAGCCAAGGTCTAGATCTTCTACAGTTGGATAGGCCATGGTAACAAGTTTGCATTTTGATTGCAATGGGAAGACACTACTTTAGCGGAAAGTCTCATACTCTGATTTATGCTGTAGACTTGCACTGTTTAATATGGTAGCCATTAGTCATATGTGGCAATTGAACACATGAAATATGCCTCATCCAAACTCAAATGGGCTCTAAGTGTAAAGTACACACCACATTTCTAATGTTTATTATGAAAAAAATATATAAAATCCCTCCTTAGTATTTTTCATATTGAATACATGTTTAAATGATAATATTTTGGGTATATCAGGTTACATAAAATATATTATTCAAGTTAATTTTACTTTATTAAATTAATTTTACTTTAGTTAATGTAGCTAGTATTCTGGGCTTGGTCAAGAGTTTTAACCTCTTGGCCTTATCTCTCCTGTTTAAAAGTGGATTATAATCTATTTCTGACAAAGTTGTCGTGACAAATATAGCAAATGTGAAAATTCCTAAGGGCATGATAGGTACCCTTACCTTCGCTAAGCTAAAGCAAGTCAATAATCATGGTCAAATGTCAAAAATAAAGACAGGATACAGTTGTATTCTGGCTGGGGGAAACCACGTGTTATATGAGAGAGACAGAGATTGAGAGAGAGAAGAGGAAGAAGAAGAAGAGGAAGAGGAAGAAGAAGGAGGAGGAGGAGGAGCAGCAGCAGCAGGAGCAGGAGCAGCAGCAGCAAGCAGGAGGGAGGTGAGGAGGAGAAGGGGGATAAAAAGGCAAGAGACAAATCAATAAGTAGACCTGAAACTAGATATCAGAGTATACTTATTGCTAAGGCATTTGGAAACCCATGACCAAAGGAACTTACCCTGGGCCAAGAGCAAGAATTGGCACCCAGAAGAAACATTCAAATGAACCAAGACTTGTGTTCAGGAAAGTAGATTTTCATCCCAGCCTTTCTTCTCAGAGGTTCTGTGACTTTGGGAAAACCTTTGGCTTATCCAGACTCCTGTTTCAAATTAGAAGAAAGGACCAAGTATAGTCTTTAAGATACAAGTCTGAAATCCTCTGTGAAATTCTTCAAGTGGCCAAAAGGTCTCATTCAAGACCGGGGACCGGAGGTGACAGGTACTAGAAGAAGACTGTGAGTTTCCAGCACAACCAGGAAGAGAGCTGGGCCCCAATGCTGCAGAGAGGAAAAACCAAACCAGGATTTCTTTTAAAATATGCTCTGCCACATGGCAAGCCTGAGCTCTGAATCTGTAGCCTGACACTGCTGACCAGTCACATACAAGATATCTTGTAAGGATCGACATGCTAAGAGGAGGGTAGTTAAAGTCATTAAATATTAATTTAAGCACCTACCATATGCTTTGCTGTATGTGATGTGCCATGGAGAGAGACCATGGTGAATAAGACAGTCTAAGTTCCACTTTTACACTGTTGGTGGGAGTGTAAATTAGTTCAACCATTGTGGAAGATAGTGTGGCAATTCCTCAAGGATCTAGAACTAGAAATACCATTTCACCCAGCCATTCCATTACTGGGTATATACCCAAAGGATTATAAATCATGCTGCTATAAAGACATATGCACACGTATGTTTCTTGCAGCACTATTCACAACAGCAAAGACTTGGAACCAACTCAAATGTCCATCAATGACAGACTGCATTAAGACAATGTGGCACATATACACTATGGAATACTATGCAGCCATAAAAAATGATGAGTTCATGTCCTTTGCAGGGACATGGATGAAGCTGGAAACCATCATTCTCAGCAAACTATCACAAGGACAGAAAACCAAATGCTGTACGTTCTCACTCATAGGTGGGAATTGAACAATGAGAACACTTGGACACAGGGCAGGGAACATCACATACAGGGGCCTGTTGGGGGATGGGGGATGGGGGAGGGATAGCATTAGGAGAAATACCTAAAGTAAATGACGAGTTAATGGGTGCAGCACACCAACATGGCACATGTATACCCATGTAACAAACCTGCACGTTGTGCACATGTACCAGAGAACTTAAATTTACAATTTAAACTTATAATTTAAAAATATATATTAAAAAAACAATCTAGGTTCCTACTACCATGGGGCATTGATAAAATTAAATGAAAAATACCCAGAGTATGAAATAGAATTCACACCTATGCTACAACTCAGCAAAAATTAAAAACACAAAAAAAACAAAAACTGGAGGAAATCATTGAAAAATAGATTTATTTGGATGGCAGAATTATGAGTGACTTTTTTCCTTCTCCTTTTTTTTAACAAATGACTTTTAATAGTTTTGTAGATAACATAGTAATAGAATTTGCTCCCCATAAAGAAAGCGTATTAGGGTAGCTAGGTTATGATGTAATAACAACCAACCCCTGCCCCTCCAAATCTAAGTAAATTAAAAACAATATATTGAAATATATTCTTCTCATAATCCATGTCCATTTCAGGTGAGCAGAGGGCTCTGATCATCATAGTCACTTAGAGATCCAGGCTGAGGGAGCACCCACTCTTGTAAACTTGGAGGATCTTGCACCCACAAGTAAATCCTCCAGCCTGGAAATGGCACATGTCGCTTCCATTCACAACTCTGGCTGGGAAGATTTACATCGTCCCACCCTATCATGAGAGGGCCTGCAAGGTGGAGAGTCAGAAATATCTAGCAAATGGGCTTACCAACTCCCAAAGAAGGGGGAGACCTGCAAGCATTGCATTAGATGACTTAGACTAGGAAGGGTCCACAAGACTAGAGTTACCCAGAGAAAAAAATGACCTCAACTCCCCAGGGATCCACAGTCCAGGTGGGGAGTCCAACCGTCATCAGAGAGCACAATCTCTCCTCGATATGCTTCAGTCTGTGAATATATCATCGTGGAAACAATGAGAGTTATCTGGCAGCTGGATAAGAGGTGGCATAGACACAAGAAAAGCCTTTCCCAAAGAGTGACAGCTCTCTCCTAAAAACTAGAAACAACCTCACATCTACAGAAGAGGGGAGAAACAGCAAGAGAGATAGAAGCACATTGTGTCCAACACTGAACATTTCACAGCAATCCCTGTTCTTGCCAAAGCACAGTACATCAGGGAAGAGGGGTGGGAGCTATTACTGTAACGAACAAGTGTTGGTCTTATCACCTGCTGCTATTCTAATACGCTCTTGCCTTTTTAAATATCCTTTTGAGCTGAGGAAGACAAAGAAACCCTTTTTGGGTAATTTGGTTATCGACACAGCCTTCTTGAAAAGCCTTTTAAAGGGCTCCAAACCCACGTGCAGTGTCCTTTCCATGTAGTTCTCTCTGCCTTGCAGTCAGAATTGTGGTCTGTGACTTTTAGTGGCATCATGGAGAAGCCTTTGGTGTCTTAGAGCTTAGACATGTCTGTGAGGTGGGTCAGATCAACTGTAGGCAAGTCAATCTCTGAGCTATAGATTACATCCAATTGACCTGCTGCAGTTGTCAACTGGACAAATAATGGTCAAATAAAAGACAGCTCCCACTGGCCAGTCTAATCTGATCTATCAGCTCTCATGTGCATTGTCATGCCTGGGCCTCCGTCCTTGCCTTCCTTTCTTATCCAGACCCTAGGATGGCAGAATGCCTTTGACTGAGCCCCATCCCCATTCAGAGATCAATCTTGGTTCTATCTAGGAGGAATTAAGACCACGCAGCTCAACATCAACTCCCTCTCATATTAATTCCCCTCTCACTTCGAATCCCATTTCTAATAAATTGAGTGAATCCTATTTTGTCCTGCCTCTATGACCAAGCCACACTCTGTCCCTAATTTCTTAAAAGACTGTTTCTTAACCTTGTTCTTATAGGACCCTCCCCCAGGCACTGCCCTTCCTCTGAGGTCTGCTACCCCCTAACTGGCTTCCATGATGCCAGTACCTTGCTGGCCCAGCTGTGTGCACACCAGGTCCTAGACCTCTCTTTGGGAAATAAACTAGTTACCTACCTCTCATCCATTTTCCCTTTCTTGTGATTAAGCCTACGGCCAAGGGGGGCATTATTAATTACCATGGGACCTCAGTCATAGCCATAGCTGATTAGATCAGAGGTGAACACCTGACTCCAGGGAAGCTAAGCCCCAGGCCAGGTTGAGCCAATCAGCTTTTCTCTCCAAAATTTGAACTAGGAAGCCCAGACTGTGTGGAGCTGACATTTGAGTCATGTTAATAGTGGAGCACCTAAATGCCTGAGGACTGGTGGTTTCCATCAGATCTGTGATCTTATAATGAACACCTCACCTTGAGAAAATTTGGGATGGACTTTGCTCCTGGCAAATAAAACTAAGATAAGCTGGGACTTGCCCTTTCCCTCTTCACTGGTCCCTGTTGGCACTGACTCCCTGCATAGGCCCCACCTAAACACTTTTCTCAAAGTCTCATGGGTATCTGACCCCCAGCACCTGTCTACCCTGGTATCCAGGACTGGCCTTGTTCATCCCATTGTGACAGAACCCCAGAGTCCTCTGCTGTCACCCCTTGCTGATTGTGAACTGAGTACCCAAGTGGATTTAACCAGCACTAGGAAAACATAGGTCCATCATGACCATATTTTCAGAGCCACCAATCTGGATATGCAGTCAGGTGGGACTTCTGTATAGAGCATATTTCCACATATGAGGCAATTTGGGAGAAGTAGCTTGGATGCTACGATGTCAATATTTTGCAGATATTTTGAAGCATTTTGGAAAATAAAGTTACATCAAGGCTGATCCAATGCATCCAGGATACAAGGTTGTAACACCACCAGCCAATATCTGCACCCCTAGCTGGTGGGACAACAGTCCTGTAAACAGGGAGTGAAATCAGTGTCAGAAGGGAAAAGCCTCCTCTGTGTCTACTTCCCCTTTCCAAGTCCCAAACCCTGTCTCATGGCTCCTGATGGCTTAGCAGCCAGTATGGCCCAGATAGCCAGTCCTCATCCTGTAAAACAGACCCTCGACTCTCCCACCAGTCCAAGATGTCTGGCCCTGTGGTAATAGCCGAGCTCTGGAGTCTTGCTCATTACTTTGAGAAGCATATGTCCACTGATGTTAACCAGCCTCGAAAACAGTCCCACCTTCTCATATTTGCACACTTGTCCATTGCCTTCCCACAGTGACTAGGGCTAACCAGTGTCACCAATAGGATATGCAGAAATGAGAGTATGATTTCTGAGTTTGGTCATAAAAGACACTTTGGCTCTCTTGGATCACTTGCTCTGAGGGAAGCCAGTTGCCATGTTGTAAGGATATTTAAGAAGCCCTGTGGAGATGTCCATGTGGCAAGGAACAAAGGACTCCTGCCAAGAGTCAGCTGTAACTTGCCAGGCATGTGAATAAGCCATCTTGGAAGTAGATGCTCCAGCCCCAGGCAAGCCTTCAGATGCCTGGAGCCTCAGCCAATACCCTGACTATAACCTTGTAAGAGACCCTGAACGAGAATCACCTGCTTAGGTCAGGTTTTTGACTCACATAACCTGTGAGATAATAAATATTTATTGTATTTTTGGTGGCTAAGTTCTGGATTAATTTGTTTTGCAGTAATAGATAACAGACATACCACTTCTTCCTGTTCACCAGGTACCTCTGTCTTTCCACCTGTGTCCCCAGCCAGGCTGTGCCATTGCAGGTCAATCTGCCACAGCTGGTGCCACATATACCCAAATGTCCACCAAGACAGGACTCATCACCACAGGCTATAGCCAGAGACAGGAAACCCCCTCAAAAATATTTCATTGTTCCCTTAACACCTACAGCTGAAGCTACACAGCCCTTCATATTCCTGGGAAGGAATCCTTTAATTTTTTTTCTTTTATAGAATTTTCTTTCTGATTATAAAAGTGATACATATTAATTGTGGGAAATTTGGAAAATTCAGAACTGTGTTTAAAAGAAAGTTTCAATAACCCACATTCTTACCACCTAAAAGGAATGACTCAAAATTTTGTTATAGTTCCTTCTGGTATTGTTTTAAACCAGAATCATTTGGTTGATGCAAAGTCATATCCTGTGCTATTTTTTAACTTAACATTATATTATAAGCATTTTCCCATATCACAGAACATTCTAGGGATTTATGGTTTTTAATGACTGCATAGAATTACAATGTATAGATATACCATAATTTGTTTAACCAATCTCTATTTTTGGACATGTAGGTTGTTTCCAAGTCTTTGCTGTTACAAATAATGCTGCAACAAATATTCATGTACATTAATCTTTGTCCATGACTCTGATTAATTCTACAGCTCATAAATTGCTGTTTGCATTTCAATTCATTTCTCTAAATCCCTAAGTTTCTTTTTTAAAAATGTAATCACTAAGACATGCATAGAATTGAAAAGTTACAAAAGATTAGGTAGTAAAAAGCACATCCTTCTCCCTCCAGGGTCCCCGGTCCTCCAAGTCAATTTCTTCAGAGGCAATAATGGTTACCCATTCTGGGGTATTCTTGCAGAACCCTTCTATGCATATATAATTATAGATGTAAAGGTCAGATGTTCTCAAAGTGTGTTCCATGGACCCCTGGGGTCCTCAGGACCCTTTGAGGGAGTCTATAAGATCAAAGCTACTTTTATTATAATACCAAAGCACTATTCACCTGCTTCACTTTTATCCTAACAGAGGTATATGGTGGAGTTTTCCAAAGGCTATATGATATGTGATGACATCATCACGTTGACAGCTAATGGAATGTGTGCTTGTGTATTCTTAGGTTTTCTAGAATTTTCTAAGATAATCTCTTTAGAGTTCTTGATAATTTTTAAGAGTATAAAGGCTTCCTGACACCAAAATGTTTAAGATCTGTTGGTATAGATTTTAAAACACACATACATGTACATAAAAATGGTTGTATGCTATATGTATTCTGTGGCTTTTTAAAAATATATGGCAATAAATCTTTGAGATTACTTCATCTCAACAGCTATAAAACGGTCTTCATGTTTTTAATTGACTATTTTGTTCTATTTTATGGTTGTTCCACATGTATTTAACCAGCTTCTATTAATAGAATTTAATGTTTTAAAATATATCTTCGCTGCATTATTACTATTACATAACAATATATGTTGCACAGAATAACCTTATGTGCCCTTCATTTTGTAAAAATGCAAGAATATTTCTATAGTAAATTCTCAGTAGTGGAATTGCCGGCTCAAGGGGTATGCACATTTGAAATTGGTACTGTCAAATTGCTTTCCATAGAGAATATATCCATTTTTATACCCACAACAGTTGAGAGCAATTATTTTCTCACATCTTCACCATCACAGTATATCAGTTTTTTGATCATTAAAATCTGATAGTTAAAAATATGGTATCCCATTGTACTTTGAGCTCCATTTATTCCATTATGAGTAGATCAAGTATATTTTCCTATTTTAAAAAGTCACTTGTATCTTATTCTCTGGAAAGTGTCTGCTTATGTACTTTGCCGTTTGTCTTTTGATTTGTTGTTTTTTTCTTATCGATTACTAGAATTTCTTTACATATAAGAAAATTAGCACATTTCTGTCTTTTGCCTTTTAATTGGTTTATCTTACCAGGCAAAATAAATTTTGCAACTATCAAATTAATAATTTCTGTTATGGCATCTGGGTTATATGTAAGTTACGTGCGCAGACACACACACTCTCCCTCTCTTGTTTTACATTTATTCTATATTTTCCTCTAGTGATTTTATGGGATATTAAACTTTTTAGTCCATTTAAATTGTTTTCATACAGATTTAGACAAGAATCCAACTTTACTTTTTAAATTTTCTTTCTACATGGGACTGATTGTCCTAACACTATTTATTTAGTAAGAAGTATTTTTTCCCCACTGATAAGAAATTCTACCTTTATTATAAAATTATTTTTGCCTGTATTTGGGTCTTTTTCTGATTCCCCCATTTTGTTGCATGGATCGGTCTGTGTGTCCCTCCCTAGCTACACACCATTTACAATATTATAGCTTTGTAATAGGTAGAAAGTTGTTCCTTCCTTCCTATTATCCGTTCTTTTCAGCATTTAGTTAAATATTCTTGCTCCTTTATTTTGCCATATAAATTTTAGAACTGACTCAATTAGTTTAAAAAAATCCTATTGCTTTGAGATTACTTAAAATTTACAAATTAACATAGGACAATCTGCCATCTTTACAATGTTGAGCCTTTCTGTCCAAGAACACAGGAAGTACTTTTACAGTGTTCTTAAGTAGCATTTAATAATTTCTTCACATAGATCTTGCATATTTCTTGTAAAGTTTACTCCTATTGTTTCTTTTGCTATTATAAATGGAATTTTTTTCCTTTCAAATATATTTTCTAACTGGTTATATTATATATTATATAATATTAGAATTATATATTATATAATATTGGGATGCTATTGATTTTGGTTATATAATGATATTGAATTGGTTATATAATATATAATTTTGGTTATATAATGCTATTGAATTGGCTACATATTATATAATACTGGAATTATATAATATTGGAGTTATATATTATATAATATTGTAACGCTATTGATTTTCCTATATTCATTTTATATCTGGCCTTCTTACTGGATACACTTGCTTGTAACAGTTTTTCAGTTGGTCTTCTTGGATTTTTCAAGTATATATCATCTGAAAACAATGAAAATTGTGCTGCTTTCTTTCTGAGTTTTATACCTCCTTTCTTTCTGAAACCAGCTCAGTTTTCCCATAGAACTGATGTTTATAGCTTTTTTTGAGTAAACACAGATATTGACTTTCCTGTTCTTGAAGCTTGAGAAACTTATATTTGTCTTATCTGAGTTTCTTTCTCAGAAAACCAATCGTCAGAGCTCCCAGATAGTATCAAGGAGTGGAAACTTTCCAGACCCCTTGCCTGACCACCTGCTGCCTGTTGAACATCTTCTCTTCCTTCCCTACTGTATAAACCCCTAACTGTAGCCATGGAAAAAACTAATTTGAGCCTTGTCTCCCATCTCTCTGCAGACGTCACCCACAAGAAAGCTTTTCTTTTCTGACAATACCCACTGTCTCAGTGACTGGCTTTCTGTGCAGTGAGCAACTGACCTTCACCAAACCCTTGGCATTTGGCAACACTTCTCATCAAATTTCATTGGCTAGCTCCTCCAAAATAAAGCCAAATCACAGTAAGGATGTGTAGAATCTTGTGTTGTTCCTGACTCTACGGGAATGGTTCTAATATCTCACAGTATGCCTAATGCTAGAATTGCCTTGAAAAAGATATCTTTTTATTGAATTATGACTCTTACTTTTCTAAACTCTATGCTCCCATCAAAAATTCAGATTCCCCAATCAATCATTGTGGCCCCCCATCTTGCACCTATCGGGTGACATGTGATATGTGTACATATCTCAAACTGGAGGAATGAATTTATCGTCTAGAATTAGATGGTAAACTCTCCTGGGGACCAAAATAAGGTATTTTTAAACATTTTCCTCTAAAAGGGATTACCAAAACGTAGGCACCACATGCATTTCAGCTTAGGGCTGCTGAGTAAAAATTTACTACTGGGGCCTAATTTTCAGGGAACATTCAAGAAAGAAGACAGTGCCTGCAAAATCTTTCAACTCAAATCTATTCATATACTATTGCTCTATCTGAGCTGTCTTTCTTTCCTAAGCCCCCATAGTCTTTGCCTGTCTCTAACTCACAAAGCATGCTGAGCCCCAGTCACAAAATCATTTCAGACACACTCTCTATCCTCACCCACACCTGCTAATGCTGACCTTGTGAAGACTGCGAAACCACATGTCACAGTTTCCCAACATACAGAATAGCCAGGAATGCTTACTAAAACTTTAGAATCCCAGGCTCCCCAAGACCTGGTGAAGCTTATGTATACCATGATTTGAGAAGCATAGCCTTACAGTTTCATCAGTGCTGCAGGAAGTGCTAAAGGTCCTACAAGGTCCAACTCTTCATCCTCAACTCTTCTGACGAGAAGTTAAATTATCAGGCTCTTTCTAGAACTATTAGGTATGCTATGACCCCCACCCAGACAGGACAAATGCTATTTCTAAACTACTCGGCTTAGAATCTCCAAGGATGCACATGCATTTCTGGGAAGGTGGAGACACACCCAAACCATCCGTGGGTAGATTCCAGTGGATACTCTGAACAAAGTGGATCAGACATGTCTGTCAAACCCAGAAAAACCTAGAACTAGGAGGCTTTGTTAGAGAAATCATCCTTTACTGGAATGGGCCATGGGAGCCTATGACAGCAAGATCTTTCCAGCCATAGACAACATGTGCCCAAGGCTGGTTCTGTACATCCCTATCCATGGAGTAGCCCTGCCTCTGATTCCACAGTGTCTCAGATGTCTGCACTTGCTCCTAAACTGCCTCAGGTATTAGGGCTATTAGGAGCCGTGATGGCATCTGCCACACCCCTGGTTACACTAGCCACTGGCTTGCTAGCTGGCATTTTCGTGGGAGATGGTTTGGTTGCCTCGTACCCATCTCTGCCCTCTTTCTACTTCCTCCTTTTCTCCATAGCCTGATGATGTTGAGCAGGTCTCACCTGCAAGCCCGAGTTACGGCCACTGGTAAGAACAAGCATCCCTGGCGATGAACAATCATATTTACAAACTGTCTACTGCTCACACGCACAGTCAGGACCACTTCGAATGGTGGCCTTAGGATGCTGAGGAGATCCACCGGCAGCCCCCCGTGGTTGGAGTCAAGGGTGGTGTGAAGTGGCAGAACTGCTGAACTGCTTTTAAATTGGTCTTTAAGCAAACGAGAAAAGCAGCTCAGCCCATTAAGAAACCCTCACTCAGAAGCTGTCCCACTGCCATGCCTCCCGGGGTGTTTGGGGACTAGGCTAATGAACCACCAGCACCGCAGCTAGTTACTTCCCTGAAAGTCACACCACATCAAGGCGAGTTTGCCGAGAAACGAATGCACTCCTGGCCCATCAAGGGAGCCTATCTGGTGAGTTTAGCTTCTGTCTCCAGCAGCACCACATAATGAACGAGGCTCCTTTGAGGGAAGTGAAGCATTTTTCCAGTCTGACTCTCTGCCTTCTTTATAGATTTTCAAAGCCTGGTGAAGGCAAGAGGTCTCCCTTTCTTTCAGGGAAGACAGTAGACTTTCATCTTGACTCAGGACCACAGGCTACACAGTCACAACTTAAACTCAGCAATCCGGGTTCTTAAATTTTGTCACTCATAAACTAAAAATTGCTCATTATTAGAGTTTGTGGAAGAGTCTAACTCGGTATTCACTGAAAAGTGAGGATATCTTTCAAACCCCGCTGTGTTTCCCAGCTCCTACTGTGTGTGCAATGCTTTACAGGTAGGTGTACTCCAACACTTTGAGGAAGTCAGTTTCCTCCATCACTGGGTCTGTGGTGCTATCATGAGTAGCACTCACAATGCAAGTAATACTTCATGCGATTTCTTACTAGATCAAGTTTACCACAATTATTGTTAACTGGTGAGGTTTTCAAGAGCGGCTATTTTTGCTTTTTGTAAAATATAAATCACCGTTCATCTAGCTTTATTATAATCAATTTAGAGTATTATCACTTATTTGCTTAACTATGATGTACAGTGATCTATAGTTGCATCAAAAGTAGTTCGGGCCTATAATTTTCCAATAATTAAAGTTTAATATTTATCATCTATATCCCTGTGCTAATTTGCTTTGTATACAGACACCTAAATGACACACTTATGTGCTGCCTGTGAATTTGTGCCATTTGAATCACTTGAGCCTTCTAACAAAGAAAGTATAATAAAAATCAGAGTTATCTTAAAATCACAAGGCATTGTTTTAGCATATATAGACTCTTGTATGTGTTCATTTTCTTTTTTTTACAATACAAATAATATGCAATATGTATTTCTTTATAGCAACAAATTTAACATAATTGATTTTGTCCTTCAATTATATTTTGTCTCCCCCCAACTCCCATCAGTCACTGACAGAGGTAATTGATGGGTCAGGGAGGTTTCTGTTTCACTCAAGTAGACTATGATCAAAAAAAAAAAAATAATTTAAGAAATTATAGGGGTTGAGGGGGCAATGATGGAGAGGCCATTGGTAAGGGATCCAAGTCCCCCAACCACTTCATTGAAGCACTGCAGCTCGCCTGTAATCTGGGTACACACTGAGTTTCTATGTTTGTAGAAAGAATCCTACTGCCAAAAAGTGTTTGAAATCGCAGCACTACACTTTTCTATTTATTCAAAATACTATAACCTTCTAAAACAATGCTAGAAAAATCCAGAAAGATGGCCCCGTTAGTTGAGGAGAAAAGGTTGAAAAGAAAAGGAAAAAGAAAAGGTAGAACCAGGCACAGAAAGATAAGATTTAATCATCTCAATTTACCCTAGCAAAGCACCCAGCTGGGTGGATATCAGGAGGGGTGGGATGGGGATGATGGGAGATGACGGGGGATGATGGGAGATGACGGGGGATGAATGAGAGAAGATCCTGGACCTTTTGGTTCAGGAAAACAAAGACAGATGTTCAAAACTGACTATGATACAGGGAAAAAAAAAAAAAAAAGAAATGCAAATAGCATTGCCAAGGGGGTGAATTGTCCCAAGGAGAAGGGATCACTTTGATTATGAGCTGCTTAGGAAGGATACTTCTCCCTGAACACTGGGTTGACATAATTTATTCAGTTGTGAATTTATTTAGCAGAAATTTGCCACTGAGAAGGCACTGGGCAAAGCCAAGCAAAAGATTCCAAGAACCAGGGATTCCCTTGTTTCTTTGACATTAAGGAAAGTAATCTAAGACAATGTTTTTCAAACTTGAATGTGCATACAATTCACCTGAGAAGGGAGGGCAGGGGGAAGGGGGAGGGTCCTGTTAAAAAAAGATTCCTATTCAGAAGGTCTGGGGCTAGCCTGAAATTCTGCATTTCTAATCAGCTTTCAGGTGATGCCAGTACTGCTGGTCAGACACTTTGAGCAGTATGGATCTAATGAACTCATGCCTCACTCAAGTGTTAGAGACACATCATAAGGAAGTAACTACGGTGACAAATACTGCTACTTGCCTACCCAATATCCATTCTCTTATTTCACAATGAGAATCCCAGTTTTGTTTGGCAGGGCAATATGCTCAGCTAGAACCATTCAATTTTTCAATATAGTATCAATTGTAGTTGGGGTGGGGGAGTATTGTGAAATAATTCTGGCAAAAGAAGTATAGGCAGAACTTCTTGGAGAAGGCATCTGTGATGGTTGGTACTGAGTGTCAACTTGATTGGATGAAAGATTCAAAGAATGAATCCTGGGTGTGTCTATGAGGGTGTTGCCAAAAGAGATTTAACATTTGAGTCAGTGGGCTGGGGAAGGCAGATCCACCCTTAATCTGGTGGGCACAATCTAATCAGCTGCCAGCGAATATAAAGCAGGCAGAAAAACGTGGAAAGGAGAGATGGGCCTAGCCTCCCAGCCTACATCTTTCTCCCGTCCTGGATGCTTCTGCCTTCGAACATCAGACTCCAAGTTCTTCAGTTTTGGGACTCAGACTGGCTCTCCTCACTCCTCAGCTTTCAAATAGCCTATTTTTGGACCTTGTGATTGTGTATGTTAATACTTAACAAACTCCTCTCTCTCTCTATATATATATATACACACACACTTACGTACATATAAACATATACATATGTACATATATGTACATATATACATATACTCATATACGTATATGTGTATATATGTACATATATTCTGCTAGGTAGGTGTATTCCAACACTTTGAGGAAGTCAGTTTCCTCCATCACTGGGTCTGCAGTGCTATCATGAGTTGCACTCAAAATGCAAATAATACTTCATGCGATTTCTTACTAGAACAACTTTACCACAATTATTGTTAACTGGTGAGGTTTTCAAGAGCTGCTATTTTTGCTTTTTGTAAAATATAATCACTGTTCATCTAGCCTTCTTATTATCAATTTAGAGTATTATCAGTTATTTGGTTAACCCTATGATATGCAGTGATCTATAGTTGCATCAAAAGTAGTTTGGGCCTATAATTTTCCAATAATTAAAGTTTAATATTTATACCTGTGCTAATTTGCTTTGTATAAGGACATATACATATACGTACATACATATATGTACGTATATGTACATATATACACATATGTACATATATACACATATATGTATATGATGAATACATATATGTATTTATTATATATACATATCCTATTAATTCTGTTCCTCTAAAAGAACCCTGAATAATACAGTATCCCTTCCTGTTTAAAGGGCAAAATCTTTGGCAGAGGTTTTGGCTTTTGTCTTGGCTTTTGGTGTTTTCTCCCCTTTTTCCTGCCTCAAATACCGACTAATACCTGGAGGGGCAGCAGCAGCTCTCTGGCCATAACACTGAAAACTAAACTCAAGAAGGTGGTGCTGGAAGCAACACCCTGGGTCCTTCAAGTCTCATGGATTGTCCTTACCTGCACCCCCAGTTTGGGTTTCTCCAAAAGCAGCCCTGAGAGGAGAATTCAGCTGCAAGTAGTTTATTTGGGAGTGATTTCAGGAAACACCGGTGGAGGGATGGGAAGTGACACAGGGAAGCAAAGGGAGCCAGTAGCAGTGTGTCGCCAAGCCAATGGCACAGTGGGAACCTGGAGCTTAATCCCTGGGGAAGTCTGGGAGACAGTGTAGAACAATGCCAGGATTATCTAACCAAGGGGAGAAGAGGCTGGGGTATGTATCCACTCAATCCCACCTGTCCTTGGAAGAGGGCTGCTTCTGTAGGGCTTTAATTCTTCAGTACTCTGGCTTGCCCAGCACACAGGCCAAGCATGCTCCCCTACCCCAAAACAACCCTATGACTGTGATTGGGGGTATTTGCAGTAGCAATAAGAACCTTATTGACAGGTATGGGTGGGATACTAACAGCATCTGCTATACCTGAGGAAATTCAATCTAGCCTCTGTTATTCTAGTCAGACACAATTCTAGCTGATAGCCACTCCAGGAGTATTATTTTAAAAGATATTCTCACCCATATTGCACTAAGAGGCCAATGCTTAACACTAAGCTGTATATCTGTAATGCAGAATCCAAGGCAATATCTTTAGATTTAGGAAGGCTTTTCTAGCAAACTTTTAAAAGACACTGTATAAGCAACCACCTACTCTGCCAATGGGAGCAGCCAGCAGACCTCTCTACAATGTGGGGATTTTGATATAACACCCAGAGCTTATAAATATGTTACTTATTTTCTTAGTTCTTGGGCAAATCAAAGAGACTTTCAATGAGTTCAGGAAAAAGCATTCTCTAGGTAGGGAAAACTCCCATCCTTCTAAATGATTAACATCCTTATGAATGACCTAGAAGATGAAAGAAGAAGAAAGTTACTCACGAGGCCACATGGTACCAAGCTGAGGCAAGGTGGAATGTGAATAAAGATTAAAAGAATGAGTTTCATAAAGTTCTTGAATGTGGAAACTGGAAGAGAGAACACTGACATCATCTTTTCTTCTTGTCTGAGCCCTTTGGCTGACCTTGAGGGGAACGGAAGCAGTGTAGAGAAGTAAGGAGCCAGAGACTCCCTCTGCTCCGCACAGAGCCTGGATTCAGGGCTGGCTGCAGCCAAGGGAACACAGACTGGAGATTAAGCAGGCCTAAAGTTTCCAAAGTCAGCGATTTCAAAGAAAAACGCAGCAAAAAAAAAAAAAAAAAAAAAAAAACAGCTGTCACTGAGGGGCAGAGAACAGCAAACTCCTCTCATCTGACCCACAGAATGAGCTTCGGGGAGGCAGGGCCAGAGAACCACCCAGACAAAACAAACAAAACAATAAGCCCAGCAACATGGAGGGAAAGGTAAGCAGCTTTCTTTCTGAAAATTTTTGGGAACTTTTTGCAGTCTTAAATATTTCCAAATCAGGTTTCAATATGGCCAAAGGGCATGCAATTAAGCAAATGCTTTTTCTACATAAGAGTAAATGTTTGTGTGTGTTTGTGTGTGTGTGTGTGTGTGTGTGTGTGTGTGTGTGGTGGCAGGGGGAGGGGTGGTGGGGGGTTGAGGGGTTGGGGGGGTGGGAGGGTGGGTACAAATTCCAATGATGGGATTGTCCTTCTCAAATTTCTGATGCAATTGCCCTGAAGTAATCTTCATCAGTTCTTTTTTAGGTGCTTGTAGGCCTGTTGCCTTTATGAGTTTCAATTTCTTTCTCTATAACATGAGATATACCCACCCTTTCTACAACTTGGGTTGTTGCTAATGTCAAAGCAGAAAGGGTATCATAGATGAGCAATGGCTTATAAACTAGAAATAAATGTAAAACATTATGATTACTAACATTACCATTGACCCCTTAACATGTCTGGGTTCGTTGTTTATAAAATATTATTGTTTATGCATTTGTTTGACCTTGAATAATACAATGTGATTCTGAAGATTCTGTGTGGTAGTATGGATGGAGACTTAGCATAGGACCTAGCACATAATTATGTTCTGACTATTGTTATTATCATCACCAACATCATCACCATCATCATCACCATCACCATCGTCCTCACCATCATCACTATCACAATCACTATCACCACTACCACCATCATCACTATCATCACTATCATCATCATCACCATCATCACAATCACTATCACCACTATCACTGTCATCACCACTATTGTCATTGTCATCCTGTGTGGTTCACTTTATATTATAAAGGTCCCCAAATCAATGAATATTCTCTTTTGATTCACGGGCATTTGGCTACTTGTGTTTCCTTTTTAAGCCAATCTCTAAGTCACCAAGCAGCCTTAGAAAATTGAGTAGTAAGACTTTCTCTGATACCCTAGGAGGCTTTTCTTCTCCAAAAGATGAGTAATGAATGAATTTGAGATTACTTTGAAAGCCAAATAATGTTCCCTGCCTATTGTTATTGCTTTTGCTTAATTTTCATTTGTGTTGACAGCACTCACCCGAGTGTTGTCACCAACAAGCCTGGGGAAATATAGCTCCTGAACATTTTCAACCAAACAGTCACGAAGCAAATTTTCCATTAGCCTTGGGGACATTCAAAGGTAGTTTACCACTTGTGGATGACAAATCAGGTGCATCCCACCCATCTCTCTTCCGAAGACTCATAGCACCACAGGATGTGAATGCTCGAAAAGCTCTTAGCAATCTAGTCAACCTTTCATTTCTCATATAGGAAAAATGGGACACAGAAAAATAAAGGACATGTATAAAAACATACAGATAATGAGCGGTGGGAACAGGACCAGAACCCATGGCTGCTTAATTTTCATCCCAGTATTCTTTCCGCTACCCAGTGCCACCTCTTCTTGAAGTCAGATGACACCATCAGAGCCTCGGCAGGGAATAGGGGAAAGGCAGTTCATGCAGGTGAGAGAAGCCAGGAGCAGCTGGAAATTAGCTGGCTGGAGTGAAGATGAAACAAATTTGGAAACAAGCACCCGAACTAGATAGAGGTAGGCAGGAAACAAGGCAAGAATGGAGCAAACATATCCAAGAAGCAGGCAAAAATGGATGGGAGCCCAAACCCAGCCAGCAGTGACACCTAGCCAAGCTGCCTAGTGGCAACTGTCTGGGAGCCAGACTCACAGGACTCATGACATTACTGGCTCCTCCTTCTCCAGGAGTCCAGCCCTGACCTGGAGTGACCAGGGCTAAGGACTGGATCTATCATTCGGAGACATAAAGGGCTGGCTTTGATTTCTGATGTTATTATGGTGCTGGTTGTTCCTATCTCACCATTCTAAGGGGTCTCATCTGATGAAAGCGTAGGGCAAGAGTGGAAACCACAAGCTGGGAGTGAGAATTCTCAAAGTCTTGAGTATAAAAGCCAGGAAAAATAGAGCAGGAATTTCCCCCCAAGCCCTAACAGTGAGAACATTCACAAAGGACTGAATTTCCTCAAGAGCTAATGATTAGGGGAAACAAAAGAAACAGATCCTTAATGAAAAGTCATTTTCATTTGTTTGTCCCATAACTTATGCATGCTTTAAAAAACAAATCATAAAAATCAAACTCTTTGCTTCTGAGCCAAATATACAAATTGTGTGGACGACTAGGTTTCCTACTGCTATGGTCTGAATGTTGGTGTCCTGTAAAATTCATATATTGAAATCCTACCTCCCAAGGTAATGATACCAGGAAATGGGGCCTTTGGAAGGTGGTTAGATCATGAGGGTGGGGCCTCCATGAACAGATTAGTGCCCTGATAAAAGAGACACCAGAGGCCAGGTGTGGCAGCTAGCGGCTCACGCCTGTAATCCCAGAACTTTGGGAGGCTGAGGTGGGTGGATCACTTGAGGTCAGGAGTTTGAGACAAGCCTGGCCAACATGGTGAAAACCTATCTCTACTAGAAATACAAAAAAATTACTGGGCATGGTGGTGCATGCCTGTAATCCCAGCTACTCGGGAGGCTGAGGCAGGAGAATCACTTGAAACTGGGAGGCAGAGGTTGCAGTGAGCCAAGATGGTGCCACTGTACTCCAGCCTGGGTGACCGAGCAAAAAAAGAAAGAGAGAGAGACACCAGAGAGCTTGTTTGCCCCTTCTGCCAGGTAAGGTTACAGTGAAAAGATGGCTATCTAAGTACCAGGAAGCAGGCCCTCTCCAGGCACCAAATCTAACAGCAAATTGATCTTGGACTTCCCAGCATTTACAGCCATGAAAAATAAATTTCTGTTGTTGATAAGCCACCCAGTCTATGGTATTCTATTATAGCAGCCCACATGGATGAAGATGCCTACCTATTGGCATCTTCTGAGAAGAATAATAGCTTAGTTTTGTGAGGATAAAGAGGGCACCTTAGGCAGAAAACAGTATGTGCAGCGGTACAGAAGTAAGAAGCAGCATTCCCTGACCAGAGAGTAAGAGGAGTGGCTGGAGAATGGGGTATGTGTTAGGAGCAGCGGCAGAAAGTGTGGAAGAAGCAGGCAGGAAGTAAATTTCAAAGGACTCAGCACACGGGATGGGGTAGTTTGGACTTTCTGATAGATCCTCACCATGACCACCCCGAAGCACAGTTTTTCCTCATTATTCACATTTCAGTATTTGCAAATTCTCCTACTAAAATTTCTTTCTGTGTAACTCCCAAATCAAGTCTTGAGATGCATTTGCAGTCATTCATAGACATATGCAGATGAGGGAAAATGTGCACGCTCCCAGCTGAGGTGGGACCAGGTGAAGCTCTGCCTTTTTGTTTTGGCTCTCAGACTGTAAACCAGCACCCTTTTGCAGTCTATTGAGTGGCACATTTTTGTGCTTTTTGTTGGTGATTCTGAAGTAGGAGACCAGCAGGACTTGTTTTCTGGTCACAACCCTGCTGACACAAAACAGAATCTGATCCAGATGGGATGAAGTAAAGAAACTGGCAGAAACCAGCTGGGCACAGTGGCTCACACCTGTAATCCCAGCACTGTGGGAGGCCAAGGGGGGGCAGATCATTGAGGTCAGGAGTTCGAAACCAGCCTGGCCAACATGGTGAAACCCCGTCTCTACTAAAACTACAAAAATTAGCTAGGCAAATTGGTGCATGGTGCAGGCCATTAGTCCCAACTACTCCAGAGGCTAAGGCAGAAGAATTGCTTGAACCCAGGAGGCAAAGGTTGCAGTGGGCTGAGACTGCACCACTACACTCCAACCTGGGCGACAGAGACGCTGTCTCAAAAAAAAAAAAAAAAAAAGAAACTGGCAGAAACCAGCAGATGGTAACAAAAGTGATCCCTAGATGCCCTCATTGCTCATTAGCATAACACACTCCCACCAGTGGCATGACAGTTTACAAATTCCATGGCAATGACCTGGAAGTTACCACCCCTTTCTAGAATGTTGTTGAATAAACTGCCCCTTAAGCAAGTATTGTAACTGCAAGTATTACAAGTAATTGGATATAAATATGGCCACCAACAGCCCACAAGTGTGACTCTGGGCACGCTGCCTATGAATTAGCCCTGCTCCACCAGAAGCAGCTCCAGTTCAATAAAAGACTGCTATTTAACACCACTGGCTTACTCTTGAATTCTTTCCTGGGTGAAGCCAAGAACCTTGTATTAGTCTGTTCTCATACTGCTAATAAAGACATATCTAAGACTGGGTAATTTATAAAGGAAAGAGGTTTAATTGACTTACAGTTCCACATGGCTGGGGAGGCCTCACAATCATGGCAGAAGGTGAATGAGGAGCAAAGTCACATCTTACATGGTGGCAGGCAAGAGAGCATGTGCAGGGGAATCCCCCTTTTATAAAACCATCAGATCTTGTGAGACTTATTCACTATGATGAGAATAGCATGGGAAAGACCCACCCCCCATGATTCAATTACCTCCTACTGGGTCCCTCCTACGACATGTGGGAATTATGGGAGCTACAATTCAAGATGAGATTTGGGTGGGGACACAGCATAAGCATATCAAACCTTCCCTGGCTAAACCCCAATTCTGGGGCTTGCCTGTCCACCTGCTTCAATTCCACTGTTTAAAATAGCTCCCATGTATGGTGCTGAAGTGCTGCAGGGCCAGAAGGATGTGACATGACTTACAAAGAAAATGCATGTGTTAGATAAGCTTTATTCAGTCATGAGTTGTAGTTCTGTTGGCTATGAGTTCAATGTTAACTAATCAACAATTTGTATTAAATAAGATGTCTAAACAGAAACACACATAAAACAAGGTTTTAACAATGTGTTGATAGAATGATTAAACTATTATGACCAAAAGCTTGCAGAAACCTAACTCCATATTTCTCCTAGGAGCAATGGTTTAGTATTTCATTCAGTGTTTGCAGCAACTGTATACAATGTAACTACCATGAATAATAAGAATCAACTGCACTTGGAATGGTTTCATTTTATTTGACTTTTAAATCTCCATTTCACAAATTGGGACCCTAAGTCTCACAAGGCTGAGACTTGCCCAAGGCTCCGTAACTACTAAGTATCAGAGCCAGGACTTGAACACAAATGGTCTGATTCCCACTCCCACCATGTTTCTACTCTGAAATGCAGCAGATGCTAAAATAGCAGAAATACCAGTGTCCCTCAGGCCAGGTCTTAGAAATCTATAGTCAGCCATGCCATAAGACTGAAAGGTAATTCAGTGAAGGTCTTCTAGGATGCCTTAGCTGGCTCTTTACTGGAGGTAATGGCCAGGTAAAGACCTAGAATCCTGCCTGGCTCCACTTGGGTTTGAGCTGGGTTTTATGAGGACTCGATTTATCAGTGGCCTGGTACAGGTTCCAAATTGAGATGGTGGCAGCCCCAGGAGAAGCCCGGCATCTTAATATTCCAGATGCAGCCGTGTCTGGCAGCCTAGAGTCAGATAACGGCAGCCTGGGTGTGTGCACACTTAATATTCCCTCCAGCAGCCCCATATCCCTCCTCCTGCTTCCAAGTCCTGCTATATTTTTGATGAAAGCTAAACAGATTACGAAGGAAGCCCAAAAAGGACACAGTGTTTGCAGGAACCAAACCTTGAAGGGGAGGCCCTTGGGGGCAAGAGAGTGCTACAGCTTTCTATTTAGACAGGGCTCCTTTTGGATAATTGGATGCCTGCTTCTTATGCAGCTGGTCAACTGAAAATGTATACAAAATGAGTGAGTGGCGTGTGTGTGTGTGTGTGTGTGTGTGTGTGTGTGTGTGTGTGTGTGTGTTGAGGGAGGAACCAGAACAGCAAAAGAGAGAAGAAAGGGATTTTTTTTATCTAATAGGATGATAATTGAGCATCTCCATGATATCCCCTTCAAATCTGCTAAAATTGTAAGAACAGAAAATCCTTACCAGGCAATGTTTCTCCAAAGAAAGAGATCAAAGCGGAAAAGTGTCAAATGAGACTGCAGCAGCCCCAGGCTAATTGTGAAGTTTGCCTTATGGGCCTCAGCTTCTTCTTCCAAGGTCTCCTGCCCTCTCTTGGATACTTAGGGACCCCATACTAGCTCCCTATGCCTACCATCTAATAGCATTGTAGGACTTAGCGTTAAAAGAGACACCATAAGCCAGCTAATTGTAACCCCCACCCAACCTGGGCTGGTATACACACCTTGACACTATTAAGGGAGGGTCTTTCAACCTCTAATTGCACCCTGTCTTTACTGTGATGGTGATGATGGGAGGGGATACTTACCACTTACTTCCAATAGTCACCTATCCTACAGGTGATCCTCCAATGCGGGGATCTGCAAACAGAGCCCCGTGGGCCAAATATGACCTACTGCTTGCTTTTGCAAATAATGCAT
Source organism: Homo sapiens (assembly GCF_000001405.40). Taxonomy (NCBI): domain Eukaryota; kingdom Metazoa; phylum Chordata; class Mammalia; order Primates; family Hominidae; genus Homo; species Homo sapiens. Next base: position 29,947,546 of record NC_000002.12, read on the forward strand.
TATTTGTACATGGCCATGCTTATTATGTATCGCCTGTGGCTGTGTTCATACTACAATGGCAGAGTTGAGTGATGTGACAAGTACTGTATGGTCCACAAAGCCTAGAATGTCTACTGCCTGTCCCTACACAAAAAAGTTTCCCAGCCCCTGCTTTAATGGAAAAGATGGGTTTTCTTACTGTACTGAAATCTGAAATCTGCCCTGGTGGTCACAGTCCTCCCCCTGGAGTGCCATGGGAGGCTACATCCTCCTCCATCAAACTGTTCCCCACCTTCCTCCATCAGACAACCCTTTGGTTATGTGTAATCAGTCATTGTGGTTTGTTCTTTTTTCTCTCTTCCCCAAGATGGAAACCCCTTCCTTGTGCAGTCTCCACTTGCAGTTTAGAAAACGACCCTTGTCCACACATGCTTGGCTCTGCCTTCTGAGGAAGCCACATATGTCTCACACCCAGCCCCACTCCCTCTCCTACCTCTACCCCAGAAATCTTTGGGTTCTTAAATACTTAAACAGAGAGTGCTAGATATAGCTTGTATGTATTCAACCATCAGTTCTCTTTATAAAGAGCCTGTCTGGTGACCTTTGCTTTGCCTATTATTTAATTTATAGCCCCCAACCAACTGGGTGGGGTAGCAAGTAAATATAGACAAAGGGGAAAAGTTTCAACTTGGTTTGGCTAGACATTAGAATCGACGATTGTAGCCAAAAAGGAGCTTACAGTCCAATTCCTTTATTTGACAGAGGAAAGAGCAGAGACCCAGAGAGCTTGCAGAATTTGTCCAATGTGTCAAAACTGAGCAGTACTGGGATTTAGACCAGAATACAGTAGTTTTCACTTCAGGATCACTCTTCCCACTGTTGTAGTTGTCTCTCCATATGGCTAATTCCCTTAGATCCACAGTAAAAATGTTTTGAGCATCTTAACATAAACTGGGAGGAGAATAGCTCCTCCTCTCTAGGCCATATGATTCTTTATCCAGTGGTTCCCCTTCCTACAACCTTCCCACTCGACTCTCTAATACTCCAAAGTCAGGCCCAGGATATTCAGAAAAAAATATCAGCACATATAATTGATATAATTTATTAAGTACTTGTTATGTACCAAGCACTCTGACAACTACATCTACACTGATCCTTTACATTTAATCCTTACAATAAAAAGAGAGAGATCATTATTATTCACATTGTATGAATCACAAAATAGGGTTTTAAAGAGCTACCTGAGTGGTCTTTTGGTGAAACCCAAACCAGACAATCTGACTCCAGAGCTGGAATTATTTGCCTCCCACTGACAGGAGCAAAAATCCGGCTCTCCAGCCTCCCACTAACTGAAACGTCATGGGAATTTTCTACTGCATTGCATGGAGTCAAGTCTCCCATAGAGGTGGGCAAGAGTCTATAAAATATTACTTGGCTGTCCTCTCTCTAATATTCTTCTCCCACTTTCACTCTCAACTGGGCAATGATTTTTTTTTTCTCAATCAGCAAAGGTCTGTAATGGATCCACCACTACAATTCTACTTTTCCTCTTATTGTTTCTCCTCTTTTTTTTCTCTTCTCCCATTTTTTTCTCTTCCCCTTAATGGCTTAGATCTGCCAAAAGCCCCCACAGGTACTGACAGCTCAGACAGGGGCATGCAGAAATAGAGTTTGTTCACCTTTGGATTCCTGTTCTATTCAAGGTGCAGTTGATGCTACTGTCCCTGCCTCCTTCAGCAGCCATCTGGCCCCGACCCATAGAAAGGGGCAAACGTGGACCTTGAATTCGGTCCTCCTTATGTTGGACTTTATATGCAGCTCACTATGAATGATGCTGGAATACAAAGTGGAATAATATAGCCCCTGCCCTCATGAAGTTTACCACTAGTGGGAGAGAAAAACAGATAACAGATATGTGCTTGAACAGATAATTTCAAGACAATGTGGTATATCAAGCAAACTATGAAGCCCAGGGGAAAGGCATTTGGCTCAGCCTAGTGATGTCAGGGAAAGTTCCAGAGAGAGAAATGTTTGAGCTAAATAATTTAGGACCAGTAAGACCCATCAAAACCCAGGAAGAGGAAAAAGGGTGCGGGTTCACGGAGAGAGTCTAATGGGTATGGACACTTAGTATAGGGCCCAATGAGGATCAAACAATCTCTTGAAGCTTTTCATGGGGTGAAACAAAGGGTTCTTTACTCATCTGGTGAGCTCTGACTCCAACTGTATCTTGTGCTCTTTAAATGCGTTCTGTCATTTAATCTTCACAACCAACTACTGGGTAGGTAACACTAGCTCCATTAAATAGATTATCAAGGCTTAGAGAAGTTGAATTCCTTGCCCAATTTTGTGCTGACAGGAGGGGATACAGAGAAAAGTGCTTGTTCTGATTTGCATCCCTTGCCCCCAATGCTAAGGACCCATAAATGTATTTCTGCCCTCCCTGGAACATGTATTTCTGCCCTCCCTGTAACAGTATTGTGAGCTTTTCTCTTCCAATCTGGAACATAATCACCTGCCATTTGCTCAGAGTGTTCATAAGAGATATTGTTGGGCGTCAAATGTGATGTCCTCAAGAGGGTCTCAAAGACGCTGAGGGTAATTATCAGAATGAATATGGGCAGCTGTGCCCTCCCAGAAGCATCCTTCCCCAAAAGGTGCTCTGCTTGGTGGCACTGCAATAAAGGCATGTGGTGTGTAAGGCAATGTGGTGTGTGTATGCTGTCTCTCTGCCTTTTTTTGTTACACTTTGCAGAGGTTGGCATCTTCACAGGGCCCCTTAGACTGCCATGTGGGATCTGTGTCTCTCTCCTTACTTTTTCTAGGCCTTTTCCTGTTTTAACTTATGCCCTGGAGGGCCAGCTCTTGTGTTGGGATGCTTGCTGACTGGTAGCGACGAGTGGCTCTGTAGTCACTCAGAGATCCAAGCACCCTGCCTCCTCCTACATCTGTCTTCATCTGGAGCCAGGCTGAGCTCCAGATTAACTCTAGCATGAACTTGGCCTGAAAGTTGCCAACCACTTTTGGTAATGACATCACCAATGGTGGGTAAATGTTTTACTTCTATCAGGCTCCTTGCGGAATCTGTGTCCAGGATTTTAAAAACAAAAAGACAAAAAAACCAGAGTCAGCAGGTTTGCAATAATTAAACAAAGCCCTGAAGGCAGAGCTGATGCAAAGCCCAGGTTGAAAGCAAGGCAGGGCGAGCTGCAGGTTAGAGCCTGTGTCTGCACCTCCCGTTGGGCCCAGCAGCTTGGGGCCAGCAGAGTCAGTCTGAGGCCAGGTGTGAGATGAGAAAACCAGGCCTCCTTAGAACAGAATCCAGCTGCTGAGGCTAAATGTCTTGTGAGGCCAACAAGCAGGAGTTTGCTTTCCCCCTAAAGGCCCCAAGGGTGTTAGAGTCAGGACAATCTTCTTAAACCAAACAGTGTGTTTTCTTCCCTCTGATCTTATGTCAGAGCAAGGTTAAGCTCCAGAAAAGTCACCTGGGTCAGGTACTCAACATTCACAGAGCAGGAGGGTTTAAAGTCAGAAGATTTGGATGGAATCATGTCTCTGTCACTTGCTGGCTGTGTGATCTGGGGCAAAACTCAAGTCTCCCTGAGCCTGATCCCTCAGCTGTAGAATAAACAAAGGACAGACCACATAGACCATGAAAAGCTTGCTCTGAGGATCAACTGAGATAATGTATGCACCAGGTCACACATAGTAGGAGCCTCATTCTTCCTCCTCTTCCATGAAAACATCATCGTTTATATTTCAGCTACTGTTTTGCTTTCAGAGAACTATGAGGACACAACATTTATTGTATTATAAATATTATTTTACAACTCTATATTTTCTATTTGATTTAGAACCCCTTAAGAAAAAAGATTGTGTCTTTCTTATCTTTCTTTGTATATCTAACACTTAATACATAGCAAATGTGCAAAAAAGAAAGGTTTGCTAAATGAATTCATACATCCGTGTACTTGGTGGAATAAATAATAGCCAGAGATAAATTCCCACATGTATTTAATTAAAATCTTTTTTCTCCACTGTTCTCTCCTTTTCTTGCCCTTTTGTCTTTTCATTCACTGCTTCATGTGCTGAATAGTTCTTCTGTGCCATCCCTACTCCAGGCACTGTAAGGACATAATGGTGAATAAGAATAAGCCATGGTCCTCATACTCTTCCAATCCTGTAATAGCACAGGTTTGAAAGTCAAACCACGGGGCAGTATGGGCTGTGTCTTATCAGTAGTATTTATAACTGTGAGTTTAGAGGGAGGAGCAATCCCTGGGGTTGCAGAGGCAGCTTCATAGAACACTTTGTCTTTGAACAAAGCCTTTGGATTTATCTCACTCTAGCCTGAGCTCTGAAATTTACCCATATTACTCCCAAACAATGGGAGGCTAATGATTAGAATGCAGACAGCAATAAGAAAAAGATTCCTAGCCATCAGCCAGGACTTGCTGTAACCAAGAAAAACTTTTCAACCTGTTCTAATGGGGAAAACAAGCCCATGACACACCAAGCCTCACAGAGTCTAGAGTTAGACAGAAGTCACTTGGGGCCCAAGACACTGCCAGCAATAGTCTTGTTTTGTTACTCATTAATGCCCCACTGTGAATGTGACTCGGCTTCTCTCTGTGTATATCTGACTCTGTTCATCATCTCAGCTGTCAGCTAACTGCCCAATGGAGAGTAATGGATCCAATGTAGTCATCATCAGTCTGATTAGGTGAAATAAGCCCAGGGCCACTCATAGGCTGCTGTCACATCTATAGGTTGGTTTTCCTTGGATCATGGCCAAGCTTCATACAACCGTCTGTGACAAGAGAGGGCAATGGAATCACATGGGACAATATGGTACACATTAAGGAGCTGCTGATGACCACACTTCCTTCCACAGGGCTTAGGGCAGCAACTCCATTAGAACGTGGATGTTGATAGGAAGCGTACTTTGAATGGCCTGCCCGGTCTTGCCTGGAATCTCAGGTGTGATTTTTATTGGAAGTGACAACAGGTAAGGTGCAGGAGAAAGGAGCAAACATTCCAGCGGAAAGAAGAAGATGGGCAAAGGCTTGGAGGGAGCAAAGCTCAGGATAACACTACCCCTGTAGATTATGTGATCTTGGCTTGGACTCATGAAAGCCAGGGATTTGGGGAGGTTCCAGAAAACCAAGATTCCTTACCAAGCAATAAATACTGACCTTTGGTGAAAGGAGAATCACTAATTCAGGAATGAGTAGGTTTATGTCTCCGAAAGTTATAAAACTGAATGCATTACTAGTGTGTGGAAAAGTGTTTGTGGAACTGCTATCTCTAAATTTAAAATAAGGATTAGTGCAACCTGCCTGAGACAGAACAGGGCAGCACCTCCTGGAGGCAGAGAGCTTGACCAAAGACTCCTGCTAGCAAAACTGTTGGTGATTAAAACTTATTCCCAAAGATAGTAGACAGACACATGTCTTATACCTTGCAAGACCTCATTAAACATCAAACAGAACTGGAGGGGCCCATTCACAGACCAGAAAGTTCAACAAAGGGAGAAGGAAATTGTATTGTCTGACAACAGATACAACTGCAGCCTAGAATACAGGTAGAGTTGCCTACAGAGAGGAAATCAAATTTCCAGGCAGACCTCCAGAGAGAGTAAATACAATGGAAGCTAGGGTCAGAATGGAACACAGAATACAGGTATGTTAATGGAACAATTTACTTCTACTCTCATGCAGAATACTGGGTGCTAGCCATCTGCCCTGTGCAAAGAAAGAAAAACTAAAGTCTCTAATGAATTAAAACAAACTATCTGGAGAGGACATGAGCCTTTATTGTGAGGATTTGTGTCTGCAAGCAAAACCCTACCCATGTGGACATTTGGGGTGCCCCCAGGACAAAGGCTCTCAGTCTTCCCACCCTAAGGGGAGCTGTCAATCAAGAGGCCTCACCAAGTACAGAGAGTTCCCAATCAGCCTCTCCCCAGCCTCAGTTAAAAATCTCATGATACACAAGCAAAACCTGCAGCATCATGAGAAACATTAAGATTAAGTGAAAATCCCAGTGGAATTCAAGAAAATCCTGATCTGAGTGCCATTTTTTAAAAATATCCGAAGACATTAAAGATCTCTTGGAAATCAAAAATATAATTTCCCCAACATAAAAATTAATAAATTGGATCCTTAAAATACAAAACCAAAAACCACTTTCAGAATGTTGAACAAAAAGACAAAGAGATGCAACGTACGAGAGAAAAGAGACATGGTGTTCAATTCAGAAAGTCTACTTCAGTTGAGAGGGTTGCTAAAAGGGAAAACATAGAGTCAAACAAGATGAAAGAAACTGACCCATGTCTAGACTCATGACCACCAGGCCTAAATAGAAACTAGTAAAACTACCCAGATGGGGGAAAATGGCTACCAACAAAAATAAAAAACAGATTCAGATTGACACCATGTTTCTTAGCCTCCACAGTGGATGCTAAAATATAATGGAATAATATCGCAAAGGCTGAGGAACATAAAATGTTAAGCTAGAATTTATAACCAGGTAATTTACTAAACAAGTGTAAAAGAATAAAAGTCTTTTGATACCAAAAAAAATCTCAGAAAGTTTATATTCTACATACCGTCTTTTAAAGTTATTTCAGGATGTTTGTCAACAAAATAGTGTTGGAAATAAAGAAAGAGGAAAACATTGGATCCAGGAAACAACAGATGCAACCCAGGAAACTAAATACAAAAGTTCTAGAATGATAGCTGTGAAATAGGCCTACCAACCAGTGAAGAATGGACTAGGGAAACTGAGACCTTCAAGAAAGAAGGTTCCAAGAAAAAAAAAAAACAGAAGTGGGAGGAAAAGCTGGGGAAGGGACTCAATAGAACAGAATCTAAAAACACATTGGGAATGAGAAAACAAAAAGCATGGGGATAAATAAAGGAAGGCACTTAGATTCTCCAAGGAAACCAAAAAGCTCTCAAGAAACTTGTCCAAATATGAAGCAGCTGGTTCAACATAGAACAAGAGATCATTGTCCATAAGAAAACACAAAATGGATTCTGAACAATAGAGAGATTGAGTGGTAAAAAGAGGAAGGCAAAAAGGCCTATGTTCCTTCCCTTAACAAGAAAAATGTAAAGCAATCTGTAATTTTGAGGAAGGGCAAGTCCAAGAAAGGCAAAGTCCAAAGGTGAAATCTGAAAAAATATGACATAATTTTGAGCAATTGGTAAAATGCAAGAAAAAATAATCTATTTGAAGATTTTTCTTTATGTGATACAGGAATAATGAAATGGCAACTGTAGAGAAAGAAATGTAATCAGAGCACAGTAATTAATTGGCTTTGGCTTTGCAGTAAATAGTCAGCACCTCCTCATAATAACGTAAAATCTCTGCGTTGGTTTCCACTTTTGGAATCAAGTTAGAGTCAAAGCAAAAAAAGAAAGAAAGAAGAAAACTTAATTATAATCCCAAAATATAACGTACATACTCTCAACTTCAGCGATATAAAAGTTCAGGTCACAGAAACTGAGAGGTGAAGGAAGATGACTTAAAGGGAGATACAGGGTCTTCATTTCCTCATTTTGCAGAGTAAGACTCAAGAGGTATGGTCTTTATTGCTATCACAAGATACAGAGGCTTAAATATAATATTTAAAATTTCAAAGCTAAAGGAACTGAAAGTAGTGACTTGATTCTTTAGAAGAAAGTAAAAGGAAGATGAGAATGTAAATAAGCCAAAACCTCATTTATCACAGGAGAAAATCAACGGACGCTGTCCCAGATTGAGAGGGTGCCATTCAACATGTGGTGGGATCCAGACTGAAACCAGGAGGGGTTCTGAGGGACTGCTTTGGAGGAGGAGGGCTGAGGTCGAAGATGGGCAGGCAGGGAGCAGGACCTGGGGGTGAGAGAGAGTCTCATTATAAACTGTGTATATATTAGTTTTATTTTTTATTTTAAAAGAAAAAATATTATTTCCAAAAAGGGTTATTAAAACCCTTAAAATCCAGAGTCCATAAAAAGTGTGGTGTAGCCCTGATTTTTGACTAAAGAGCCATCTAATTCACATAAAATACACTGCAGGTCTTAACAGAGCATTGGATATTATTCTTAGGCACATTAGTTGTAACATTTTGCCATATTTGTTCTCTCTCTCTGAAATAATTTTTCTCAAGCCATTTGAAAGCATGTTTTATACAATATATATACATCATGTCCCTTTACCTTTAATACACCAATGTATCTTTCCTAAGAACAGGGATATCCTCTTACACAACCATGGTTGAATTATCAAATTCAATAACTTTAACATTGATATAGTTTTATCTAACTAGAGGTTATTTGTCAACTTCATCAATTTTCCCAGTAATATCCTTTACTATAATTTTATTCCCAGAAAATAATCCAGTGCAGTTATCGAGTATTACATTTAGTTTGTCTTGTTTCTTTAGTTTTCTTTGAAACAGTTCCTTGTCCTTTCTTTGATATTCATGACATTGATAATTTGAAAATTATAGGTCAGTTACCTTATATAATTTTATTTGAATATAGTTATTTTATAGAATGCTTCTCAGTTTGGGTTTGCTTGATATTTCCTCATTAGATTTGTGTTACGCATTTTTGGCTAGAATATTAAATGGTTACTGAACTATCTTTGATTTCATCAATTCTGCTATCTTAAATCTGCTATTGAACAAATCTAGTAATTTTTTTAAAAGTTACTGTATTTTTCAATCCTGGAAATTCCATTTTTTATAGTTTCTTTTTCTCTATTGAGATTTACTATTTGTTGAGTTATTGCCACCATATATTTATTTAATTCTTTGAATATATATATAATAGATCTTTGAAGTCTTTGCTAAATTTATCATTCTGGGCTCACGCAGAATCCGTTTTCTATTGACTTATTTTTTTTCTTGAGTATGAGTCACACCTTGTTTCCTTGCATGCTCAACATTTTTGTTTGAAATTTGACATTTTAGGTAATATATTATGACAACTCTAGATTCTCTTTTTTTTTTTCCTGAGGGTTTTCTTGGTAGGGAAAGTGAAGTAGCTTGCCTGAACTTAAGCTACAGAATCTCTCTCTCCCATGGTGAATAGCCACGAATGTCTCTGTGCAGTTGTTTCATTCCTAACTTCACTTTTTTCACTGGCTTTCTAGGATTATGTAGTTCATAGATAACCAACACTTGGGTACAGGCTGTTCTCAAATGCCTTGGTCTCTTAAAGCTTTCACTCTGCTGGTTTATCATGTATAGATTGGGAAGCCTTCAAAGGTCAGCTAGTTCTCAAGTCAGCCTTGACTTTCACTTTGCCCTGAGCTCTCTTGGGTCCCTGAGCATGCTCATGGTTTCGTGGTCAGTCAGAGAAGGGTGGAGAGGACCTCTGCGACTCTAATATCTAGGATATTCCTGTTAAATATCTCACTGATCCACTTCATACCCCGATTTGCCCTGGGACCTCAAGGCATATTAACAGAGTGATAGTATTTCCTGCTCATTTTCTACTGAGTTTGCTATTTTTACTGACAACACCTTGAGTTGTCTCCCTCTTCCCCATATCAAGTCCACTCCCCTGGGCAGCAAAGCTACTGTTTTCCCTGGTCAATTCTGCAATGGTGAAATTATAATTTTTGCCAACAGCTTTGTATGTGGAGAGTGGATAGGATTTGTAGGAGGGTCAGGGGAGAATTTGACAATGGCCCCAGCAAGTAGTTTGCAGGCTGCGATGTTGTCACCCACTGCTCTGGTAGTTTTTCATCCATAAATGCTTCTCAATGTTTTGTCAGCCTTTGGTTGATTTCCAGATCCCTGAAAGGATTTTTGTCCAGTTTGATATGTATTTTGGGGACAGAGAATATGCCAACTTCTTGATGCCACCATGGCCAGTATTCTACTCTCCCTCTGATACATCCAGAGTTTACTGCTGCTTATTGTATACATCTAATTTTATTATTTACTATATGGATTTCTAGTTGCCTCATATTTTTTATTAAAATAGCTATGTTTACCCAGTGACTTGAGATGCCACCTTTATCATATACTAAATTGCTACATGTATTTGGTGGATTCCTAAACTTTCTATTCCATTAGTTTGTCTGTTTGTCAGAACTGCATTGTTAAATGATAGAGACTTTGCAGTATATTTTGTCTCCTTGGACTTATTGCTTCCTTCCCCCACTTCTCCCCCTCCCCCAGACACACAAACATAGCTATTTCTTTTCACTGTTTCATGGCTATACTTGCATGTTTATTTTTCCATGTGGACTTTCAGTATCATCCGTAAAGCTATGGCAAAAAAGTATCTTATCAGTTTTGGGGGGATATATTAAATTTATAAATTAACTTCCCCAGCATACTGATGATATTGAAATATTTATCAAAGAACAGGGATGTGCTTCCACTTACTCAATTCTGTATCTCTCAAAAATGTTTTTTGGTTTTCTTCATATAAGATTTACACACTTCTTATTAAGTTTATTCCAAAATATTTCATCTTTTTGTTGTTGTCTTAACCACATTTAAAATTCTAACAGCATTGGCCTTCAGTCTCAAATAAGAACTCAGGCATGGTGAGAGATTCAAAACAATTCCTATCAAATCAACATCATTTTTCATAAAATTAGAGAAAATAATCACAAAATTCATATGGAATCAAAAAAAGAGCCCAAATAACCAAAGCAGTCCTAAGCAAAAAGAACAAAGCTGGAGACATCATATTACCTGATTTCAAATTATACCACAAGGCTGTAGTAACTAAAACATCATGGTACCGGTATAAAAATGGACATATAGGTCAATTGAACAGAATAGAGAATGCAGAAATAAAGCTACATACCTACAATCAACTGATCTTTGACAAAGTCAATGAAAATATACACTGGGGAAAGGACACTGTATTCAATAAATGGTTCCGGGATAACTGGCTAGCCATGTGCAGAAGAATGAAATTGGGCCTTTATCTTTCACCATATACAAAAATTAATCCAAGATGGACTGAAGACTTAAATGTAAGACCTGAAACTGTAAAAATCTTAGAAGAAAATCTAGGAAAAACTCTTCTGGACATTGGGCTCGGCAAAGAATTTATGAATAAGACCCCAAAAGTAAATGGGACTTAATTAAACTAAAAAGATTCTGTATAGCAAAAGAAATAATCGATAGAGTAGATAGACAATCTACAGAATGGGAGAATATATTTGTAAACTATGTATCTGACAAAGGATTACGAATTAGTCCATTTTTATGCTGCTGATAAAGACATATTCAAGACTGGGCAATTTACAAAAGAAAGCGGTTTATTGGACTTACAGTTCCACATGGCTGGGGGAGCTTCACAATCATGGCAGAAGGCAGGGAGCAGCAGGTCACGTCTTACATGAATGGCAGCAAGCAAAGAGAAAGCTTGTGCAGGAAAAGTCCCCCTTTTAATAAACATCAGATCTCATGAGTCTACTTACTACCATGAGAACAGCACAGGAAAGACCTGCCCCCACGATTCAATTACCTCCCACCGGGTCCCTCCCACAACACGTGGGAATTCAAGATGAGATCTGGGTGGGGACACAGCCAAGCCATATCATTACACCCCCAAAATAAAAATCTTAGAAGAAAATCTAGGAAAAACTCTTCTGGACATTGGCCTCAGCAAATAATTTATGACTAAGACCTCAAAAGCAAATGCAACAAAACCAAAAATAGACAAATGCAACTTAATTAAACTAAAAAGATTCTGTATGGCAAAAGAAATCAATAGAGTAAATAGATGATCTAAAGAATGGGAGAAAATATTTGTAAACTATGTGTCAGACAAAGGACTAATATCCAGAATCTACAATGAACTAAACAAGAAAAAACAAATAATCTCATTTAAAAGTAGACAAAGATTTACAATAGCCAAAGAATGAAATATTTAGGAACTTATCTAACCAAACTGGTGAAAGTTCTCTATAAGGAGAGCTATAAAACACTGCTGAAAGAAATCAGAGATAACACAAATAAATGGAAAAAATATTCTATGTTCATGGATTAGAAGAATCAATATTGTTATTAATAAAATAGCCATACTGCTCAAAGCAATTTATAGATTCAATGCTATTCCTATCAAAACACAAACATCATCTCTCACAAAATTAGAAAAATATATTCTAAAATTCATACAGAACCAAAGAACACCCAAAATAGCCAAAGAAATCCTAAGCAAAAAAAGAAAGTTGGAGGCATCACATTACTTGACTTCAAACTATACTTTAAGAATACAATAACCTGGCCAGGTGGTAGCTCACGCCTGTAATCCCAGTACTTTGGGAGCCCGAGGCAAGTGGATTGCCTGAGGTAAGGAGTTCAAGACCAGCCTGGCTAATATGTTGAAACCCCGACTCTACAAAAAAATACAAAAATTAGCCAGGTGTGGTGGCACACGCCTGTAGTCCCAACTACTCAGGAGGCTGAGGCAGGGGAATTGCTTGAACCTGGGAGGCGGAAGTTGCAGTGAGCAGAGATGGCACCACTGCACTCCAGCTGGGGAGACAAAGTAAGACTCCATTTCAAAAAAAAAAGGACTACAATAACCGAAACAGCAGGGTGCTAGTACAAAAACAGACACATAGCCCAGTGGAACAGAATACAGAACCTACACATAAACCTGCACACCTATGACCATCTGATCTTCAATGAAATCAATAAAAATAAGCAGTAGGTAAAGTATTTAATAAATGGCGCTGGGATAACTGGCTAGCCATATGCTGAAGAATGAAACTGGACCCCTACCTCTCACCATATACAAAAATTAACTCAAGATGGATTAAAGATTTAAATGTAAGACCTAAAACTATAAAATCCTAGAATAAAACCTACGAAATACTCTTCTTGACATCAGCTTGGGCAAAGAATTTATGGCTAAGTCTCCAGAAGCAACTGCAACTAAAACAAAAATTGACAAATGGAACCTAATTAAACTAAAATCTGCATAGCAAAAGAAATTGCCAACAGAAAACAGAGAGCCTACAGAATGGGAGACAATATTTGCATCTGACAAAGGTCTAATATCCAGAATCTGCAAGGAACTTAAACATGTCAATAAGCAAAAAACAAATAACACAATTAAAACATAGGCAAAGGATACGAACAGACACCTCTCAAAAGAAGACATACAAATGGCCAACATATGACAAGATGCTCAACATCACTATTCATCAGAGAAATGCAAATTAAAACCACAATGAGATACTATCTTACACCAATCAGAATGATGAGTATTAAAAAGTCAAAAAGTAACAGATGCTGGTGAGACTGTGGCAAAAAGGGTTCACTTATATGCTGTTGGTGGGAATGCAAACTAGGTCCACTGTGGAAAGCAACTTGGAGATTTCTCAAAGAACTTAAAATAGAACTACCATTCGACTCAGAAATCCCACTACTGGGTATATACACAAAGGAAAATAATTCATTCTATCAAAAAGATACACACACTCCTATCTTCATTGCAGTGCTATTCATCATAGCAAAGACATGGATAAGTAGTCACCACCACCCCCTTTTCATGATCTAATTGCTGATTCTTAGACTCTGAAATAGATAAAAGTAAAAGCACAGAGTCCATCACTTATCCTCACAGCTATCTGTGCTGGATCTCTTGCTGAAGCCTTGTCAATAAATTGGTGGGAGGAGAATTGGTGGGTAAACAATGAAGTATAGCATATGTTTTATTCATTTTTATTAGGAACTATGCAAAGGGTGGAATGTGCTTTCATTTTGGGTTTCTTAGTTGTCATCCACTCCCCACTTTAGGATTATTTCACTGGCAATGAAATTCAGATTCTAAGGCAAGCAATCTCCCCTCTCTTTTCGAGCTCCATAACAGAGGGAGAGGAAAGAATGCCATCAAATTTCCAACAGCATTTCAAGGTCTCCTTCAGCCCCAGGATTTATTCACAACTCACTGTCCACTCACTATCTCATCCAGCAGGATTTGTTCTCTTTGTCTCTATTTTCTCTCTGTAAAGCTGAAGCAATCACCCTTAATGCCAGGTAAGGTGTTTTGAGATCCTAAGATGAAAGGATTTGAGCCCATCAACATGGAGTTTGGAACTGCTTCATGGTATATGTCTCTAAACCTTTCATTCAGCGCTGAACAGTTCTGTAATTCTGTTCCCTTTAAAGTAAATGTACCAAGTGGGGAGCTGACGGTATATTGCCTTTAAGGACACCAAATGTCCTACTTTCAGAAAACAGCCTGTTTGTTTCTGAGGCAGCCTTTGGCTGCTGCTCCAGATTCCCTGAAATAAGCAAAACCTCCCAAAGCAGCTGGGAGATGCAGGTGCTCCGGGCTCCTCCAGATTCACACCTGGAGTGAGAACATTCAGGTTCCCATTCTTTGCTGGCCTCCTCCTCCCCACTCTCAACTGGATATAACAGCTGCCCCTGCCCTGCCTTTCCCACCTTTGACCCACCCAACCTTAGATCTATCAATCCAAGGAGGGTGGTTTGCTCTCAGTAGTGCTCTTCATACTCTCTGTGGGGCAGTGAACTCCTCTTTTCAAATTCAATTTTCTTCTGATCTCGGACTATATGACAAATCGTAGCAAAGCAGTTTTAGACACAGGGTTTGGGGTAAGGGGCTGCAGGACCTCGCTGCTGCATCACCCTCTGACCCCTCTACCACTTCATACTCATATGCTAGGACCAAGTCACACTCCCAGAACCCTGGGTCTCCTTCCAACATGATCTGAAACTAATGGGAGGAAAAAAGAACATATTTAGCTCTGTAAATGAGGTCATAAAAGGGAGTAAAAAATGAGATTGTATCACCGGATGACATTCCTAACAAAAAGTAATGGTGAAGAGCAGCAGTTAAACTTTAGAGACCAACGCACAAGCTCAGAAGTCAGGACACTTAGGGAACAGCATCCTCTGGCCTTGATTCCCGGTGCAACCTCAGGAGAGTTACTTAAGTTCTCTGGGCTTCAGTTTCTTTTTCAGTTAAGCGTTAATGATATTGACCCATTCCCTTAGGTCTTCGCAAGCAGTCATTGGCAAAGGTCTTCCCTCCTCCAATAATATTTTAAAAGAAACAATGGGAACTGATGACAAAACATCTTTGCTGCATAAAACTCATGTTTTACAAAATTTCATGTGAGCCAAAATGTAATCCCAATTATAACTACATTTGAAATAATTATTCACTCACACATGATCATTTTCCTTTATTGAAGTCTAAACCTGTGCTTAAAATTGATTAAGGCATCTATATTTTATAACATTCTATATGATGCATTTATTCCCTTTTCTTTGCAATATATTCCCACTAAAACTTGTTCAAGCTAAGTCTGATATTTTTAGGACATGATTTTTAAGTGGTATCTGTGTGCAAATTACAGTAGCAAATCCAAATTAAATTGTTTTTACTTTAATGTATAATGTCAAACAGATAAATACCTAATTTGTATTCTTGGGAATTGAGAGACTGGTATTAAAAAATATCAACATAATAACGTGCTTAAAATCAGAAATTCAGGAAAAATTCGGAATTTACACTGAGATTCTGCCTCATAAAATCATTTTCATCTTAAAGTTGGTCTTGAAGCTTCTGGATAAAAAAAAAAAAAAAAAAAAAGGTCAGCACATTTCACACAGAAAGCAAAGACAGCCCATAGGCAGTAGATGGAGAGGAATAAGGAAAGAAAGCCAACCCCATCTTAAAGCTCTCCTTCCTTCTTACCTTTTTGTTTTCTGCTGTAAGTGTCCCCAACCTGGTTCCTTTCGGCTTGACTCTATGTTAGTTACACTGTTCGTTTCTATGTCTGTTTACAATGTACAAGACACCTTCATGCCCATCTCCTATCATTTCATTCTTACAACAATCTCAAAACACATGGTGAGCAGCCCTCTTTCTACCAGTTCTCCAGAGGAGGCAAGCAGGCTCTGGAGAGGATCTGACCACCCCAGCTGCCTGGCCGAGTGGGGCTCCAGACCTCTTCCTGCTCCTCTGTCCAGTCTGCCTAGCACTGATGTCACAGGTGCCCACTTTTGGGGCCCCGTTTGCCTTTTAGGACCTCTCCACAAACCTTCCCAGGAACAGAGGAGACCTGTGAGTTCAGGGCAGGGGCTCCCTCAGGAAGAGCACTGACTGCAGCCCTAAGACCTGAGTTCTGATTCTAGTCTTGGCCCTGCCTGACTCAGCAGCATCAGACACTTCATTTATTCTGTCTAGGCCTCAGTCACCCCATCCATAAACTGGGGTTGTAAATGTGGCTCGCCCACCTCATCGGCATACTAGGAAACTCAACATAGTACATAACATAGATGGAAATGGTCTTATTTCACTGTGTCCCATAAGCCACTGGAGATGTCCTCTTGGGGCCTATGTCCTGGGGGATCGTGATCCTTCAGAGTCCCCCCAGACTCCTGGAGCCTGCCAGGCACAGGACCTTGGGGAAAGAAAGAGCAGCATTCATTGGTGCTCTGACCTTCCCCTTGCGATCTGCCAAGGAGGCTGCTCTGGAGGGGCCCTTCCTGCCCATCAGTCCAGCCCTCCTAGTGGCTCCCCAATTATATCAAAGGCCAGGTTCCCACTCCCGCCCTGCCTCAGTCAGGGGCCATCAATGACTTGATGAAAGTTAAAGCCACAGCTCTGAGATGCAGGAGTCAGCCCCCTGTGCTCACCCCTGTAGAGCCTGCTGGGACAGTCAAGGCTTGGAAGTGAGTCAAGCAGGGAGTGGGGTGTGGGAAGGGGAGTGCAGAGATGGCAGCTCCAAGCAGCAACTGCTTCTCCAGCCTCCTGTCACGGGGCTGCTCTCCTCCCTCCTGACACCCCCAGGACTGAGCCCACTATGCTCCAGGGCTCATTAAATGTTTACCTGGTTAAAGCTTCAAGCTAGGATTAGGCAGGTTCTGGCTTGAGAAATCTGCAATGCTAATCAGGGATGGGCCAGAGGGGGTGATCTGGGATCCTGAGCCCCAGCAGCAGCCCCTTTGTGGGGGTGGGGGGCCCTGAGTTAAGGGGTTGGGGGACAGAGGAACCCTGTGCCTGGTTTAACCATGTGTTACACACACAGTTTTTAGACATGACTTTGAGCGCTTTAAGTCCACTGGACATCCCGAATAGGAGACGCAGCTACTGTGAGTCCCCCTTCGTTTTCCTAAAAGGTCTCAGGGAACAAGTCCAGAATTACGGGAGGCACCTGCATCTACATCTGGCCAGAGAGCTGAGCCCAACGCAGAGCTGCTGGTCAGCTGCAGGGAGCCGCAGCTTCTGGAAGATTCTCCTTGTCATCATCTAAAGTGTTCTGGCGGAGTAACAATACTGCCAGTAAGAGCTGGCATTGAGTGATACTACGCATTGAGCTTTCAGACCATTTACATGCAG